>NC_000001.11:204548223-204699738 GCF_000001405.40 Homo sapiens | reverse complement strand
CTCTCAACTCAGTCTAGTTGGCAAAACAGTGCAATGTGAAAATGTTAGGGTAGACAATATAGGGTGGTAGGGGACCCAGAGGAAGGGCTCTTGATCTATCCCTGTGGAGTCTGGCAGGGTTTCCTAGAGGAAGTGGTGTCTAAGCTGAAACATGAGGGACGCATATACGGAATGATTTCAAAACATTCATACTCACTATCATCATGATCAGCATTGTCAAAATCACTTGCATTTACTGAGGCCTCACTAAATGCCAGGGACCAGATTAGGTACTTTATATATATTCTCTTCTAATACTCATGACAACCCTATCAGGTAGATGCATGCTATTCATTACGCCTATTTAAAGATAAAGAAATGGAAGTAAAGAGTGTTTACAAGACTTGCCCAAAGTCACGTGGCCAGGAAGTGGCAGGGTCAGGGCTCAAACAAGGTCAGATGGGCCTTATCCTTTGTGTCCTTAGCCGCTTGCCAGGCTAGATGGCAGAGAGAAGCATGCTCAGGCCCATCAGGTGAGTGTGAGTGTGAGTGTGTGTGTGTGTGTGTGTGTGTGTGTGTGTGTGTGTGCTGGGTGTTTAACCCATCAGGGGATGTTTCCAGTGTGCCCACAATACTCCTCAGTGTCATACCAACTGTCCACACCCTCAGCAGCTCAGCCTTCCTGCCCCCGGGCAGGGGTAATCCTTCAGAGTATAAACTCAGTGCTTCAAAATGCCAGAGCATCGAAAGACAAAGTGGCTCCCAGAAGGCCAAGGACGTCTTTTTCTTGAGCTTCTCCTACCCCTCAACCCCTCCTGAAGAATTGGCCCATGGGAAGTAGAGAGTGGGGCATGGATTCCAAGTTTTTGCCAGGGAAGCTCAGGTAGAATCCCACATCCTGTTGTCACCAAACTCTCCCAGTTAACAAACCAGAACTGCCCACTGGAAATAAACTTCTGGAACTTGTACTCCAAGAGAGACAGCATGAAGTTGCATGCTTGGTTGCAGACCTTTTCTGCCCTAAATCACTGTGGGGTCTGTCCAGGTAAGCCTAGTCTGTTTGAAAGGAGATAAGAAAAAGAGTGAGACGCTCTCCTGGCTGATTGTCTACCTTCCTGGAGCCCCACAAGATCAGGATTCAAAAGATAGGGGTGAGGGCCGGGTGTGGTGGCTCAAGCCTGTAATCCCAGCACTTTGAGAGGCTGAGGAGGGTGGATCATGAGGTCAGGAGATTGAGACCGTCCTGGCTAACACGATGAAACCCCGTCTCTACTAAAAATACAAAAAATTAGCCGGGCGTGGTGGCAGGCGCCTGTAGTCCCAGCTACTCTGGAGGCTGAGGCAAGACAATGGCGTGAACCCGGGAGGTGGAGCTTGCAGTGAGCCAAGATCGGGCCACTGCACTCCAGCCTGGGCGACAGAGCGAGACTCCATCTCAAAAAAAAAAAAAAAAAAAAAAAAGTTGGGGGTGGGCCTAGATGGTAATGCACAGGGCCAAAGTGTGATGGAACAGGAAAAAGCCTATGTCTTTCTCTTCCAGACATTTGGGCAGAAAAGTGAGAGTTCTGAGCTCCTAGGTTGTTCCTGGGTTGTAGGGAGGGGATGAGGGTGATTGAATGAATCAAGCCTTGGAACGGCTCTTTCAGCGCCTAGGGCAGGGAGGATTATATACTCCCTGCCAACTGCAGGGCCAAGCCTGGCATCACCAGGAGCACGTCACGGGATCAAGGAACGCAGACTTGGCCCAAAAACAAAGCAGCAGCAGAAGGCAAGTCCTATAGTAATTGAATTCAGGATCTTCCTTAAACTTGAAGGTGAAGCTGATTAGGCTTAGGATAAACAAATAAGCAAAATAAGTTTATAGTTCTACTTCACAGGGTAGATAATCCACTTAGAATACAATACCCCAAGAGGAGGCAGGAGTCAGAAATATACAGGGCTCCCAAATGAGATTATGATGACTTGGGGAAAATGGATTCATTGTAGGTTAGGAGAAGTAAAGCATTTTAGCTATATTCTTAATATTTGAGAATGCCAGAAGAATCTGGCTCTTCTGAAACCACCCCGAACGTCATGCCAAGATCAAAGGCAGACTGGGGGCTGACAAACAGTGGGAATATAAAAGCTGAAGTTTCTTTTTTAAAAAACATTTATTTTGAAACGATTATAGATTCATAGGAAGTTGCAAAATAGTAGAGAGCAGTCCCACGTACCCTTCACCCAATTTTCCCCACCAGTAATATCTTACATAACTACAGTAAAATATATCATATTATATTGAGAAATATAATTTATTCATTTCATTGGTTAAAATATCAAAAGCAGCAAAGGGACATTTGAACTGAATCTGTCCTCACAGGGTTAACAAGAATTCTGGACAGAAATAGAGTTATAATTAAACTTTAATCAGGCTGCACTTTGATCCACTTCATTGTAACCAAAAGTCGTGCAACACGGGATACTGACCACTTGCATCCCCGTCGTTCCTATAGATGGAATTTCTGATGTTAGATTCACTCAGCTTTTGTTTAAGAATTGCTCAAGATGTTTTTCAGATACCAAATTCCAGTGAAACAGCTGGTGTCAGTCAGTTTGAAGACCCCCACCGAGGAACAGACTCATCCCAAAAATACAATTTCTTTATCTCCCCGTCCCATGACTTCTCTGTATTCTGTGACCAGTCAACAATCCCCACTTTGGCTCACTCCAAAACCCTTAAAAACCCTAGCCCTGGACTCCTTGGGGAGATGGATTTGAGGTTTTCTCCTATCTCCTCATTCGGTGTCCCCAAGATTAAATTTCTTTCTCAGCTGCAGCCTGGTGTCTCAGCATATTGACTTGCCACACACATCGGGCCATGGACCTGTTACAGTTACAATACAATCTACAGATCTCATTCAGATTTTGCCGGTTTTAAAGAACTCAATTGCGTATGTGTGTGTGCGCGCGCGCGCGTGCGCGCGTGTGTGTTTAGTTCCATGCAATTTTACCACGTGTGAAGATTCATGTAATCACGCCATAATCAAGACACGGAACTGTTCCATTCACAAAGATCCCTCACGCTCTCCTTTTATAGTCATACCATATCCTTCATCCCCAAGCCCTGGAAACCACTCATCTGTTCTCCATCTGTGTAATTTTGTCATTTTGAGAATGTCTTATGAATGGAGTCATGCAGTACCTTTGAAATTACCTTTTCTTCACTCAACACAATGCCCTTGAGATCTATCCAAGTTGTTGCATGTATCAATAGTTCATTCCTTTTTGTTGTTGAATAGTATCCAGTGGCAAGATGTACCACAATTTGTCTAATCATTCAACCATTGAATGACATTTGGGTTGTTTCCAACTTGGGGCCATTACAAATAAAACTGCTATGAACCATCATGTACAGGTTTTTGTGTGGACATGTGTTCATTTCTTTGGGCAAATGTTTAGTAAGGTGATTGCTGGATCATATGGGTAAGTATATGTTAAGTTTTTAAGAAACGGCAGTTGGGGGTAAATGGACAGTTAGGAACATCTGGGAACCATGGCAGGGGGTCTCCATTGCAGGGTCAGAGGTGTCCATTAAGTCTCGGCTGGGGCCTGGCTGGGAAGGGAACAGATAATGATCACCCTAGAGAGACTGAGACTGCAGCTGACACAGCTGGGACATGACCAAAGGCAATTGGAAGGAAGAGCTATCTGAACTCCAAAGCTATTCAAAGCAACCTACGGAGAACTCAGAAACAAATTTTAATCAGCAGAGTGACACTGGCCTCCAATAAACCTCTAACCATGCTGGAAAGATAGGCTGCCCAGAATGATTCTCAAGCCATAATAGTGTACTGGTAAATCAGAGCCCTGTACACAAACAGCGCAATCAAAGAGGCTTAGTTGTTCACTAAGGAGTTTTGTGGTCCGGCCCCAGCCTCCCTCAGGCTCTGTGTCACGTGACTGGAGGGGCTGCCAAGTGGAGGACACCAGCTCATTCCCTCATTCCCTCAATAAACATTTGCTGAGGCCCTACTATGTGCACAGGCCTCGGACCAAAACCAAAGAAGCCAGTATCTAAACAGGTGGTCACATTTAGAGGTGAATCATAAGTTGTGCCAATCAGGATGTTGAGGACTTCGGTCTTGTGAAGTCCTAGGATACCTTAGGAAAATTACCATCCTACCAGCTAGAGCTTCTTAACACAGAGCAGGTTATAGGGCATGTGGATGAGGCAGGGTGTCAAGGCCTTAGGAACAATGGCTAATACTGGGCACCTTGTCAGGTGCCAGGTGCCTGCCCTGTGCCAGGCACAGCACAATAGTTTAAAAGGGTAAAATTTATGCAACATTTGTTTGTTGAATTTCCTACTATGTGCCAGAATAACCAAAGAAGACTCTGATTTCACAGAATAGGGAGAGCTACTTGGACAAGAGACAAAAGGGTGCTTTAATAGTCTCAGCCCAAGATGGCCAATGCTTTCTTGATTTCCTGTGCTAGAGATTAAGGCAGCCATTCAGCAATTCTCCAGTAGGGAGGGGTGAGGGAGCTGAATCTCCAATTTGGGATTTAAGTAGAGTTTGAAAAAGCATATTCAACATGATGCTATAATTCTATATTTGAAATTAGTATTAAAATAAAATAAAAAGTATTTTAATTTAATTTTTATAATAAAAACTAGAGTAAGTCAGGCTTGATAAAATGGTCTTAGCTAGTGCAGAGACATAGAAAAGAACCAACTCTCAACTGAGGACAAATTCTGGAGCAAAATGCAGTAGAATCCCCAAAAGTATGTATAGTATTTTTGTTTATTACAAAGAAAGTTTGAGTGAAAAGAAAAAATGATTTTAAATATTGTATTGGGGGGTTATCATAATCACCTGGCCCTATGCACTTTCTCAATTGACAGACCCTCTCCCATGCAAAGTCAGAAAGTGCAACCTTCGGAACACCAGTCAGGGGGCCTTAGATGCCTCTCTTCTCATCTCTCTTTGAAATGCTGTCTCCTTCCTCCAAGAAGTCTTTTGTGAGTGTCAGGTTGTTCTGCTATTCTCTGAAGGTCATGCTAGGAAGAAAGCTCCCCTTGCTTTGGAAACTGCCTGGAGCCAGACCTGGCTGAAAACTCCCCCGTGTTGGTGGATTTGTCAGGGGGTCGGCCTGGGCAGTAGGGGTCCCTCAGCATGAAGCATTCCCTTCGCCAAATGCGGTAGTAGGAGAGCAGGAAGTAGGCAGCAGGAGACCACAGGGTCTCCATCCTGAAGCACCCGCTAAACAGCATCTGGCAGCCCCTAAAATGTTCTAAACCTCAATCAGTGGAAAAGGAGCAAGATCAGCTTCTTCTCTTTGTCCTTAAGAAAAAAAAGATACATTCCAGATAATTTCACCGTGATGAAAGAGGAAGAAGCGCTGAAGTAGCAAAGGAAATAAATTAACGCCATCTCAGCTAAAATCACACACAATTAAAACCTGGATCTGAATGTACTTTCCTGTTCAGAGAGAGCAGCTTGAAAATGACATGCATTAGTCATTCACTCCAGCCACCCGACTCAATGTATGGGGATGCCACACCATCTCTGATGGCAGGGCCGCGGGAAGGAGAGGGGAAGGGTTCATGACCCCAGTCTTCAGCTTTCTGTTCTCTCGTCTGGGGTCTGAAAATCCCACTCCTCCATGGCGGAGGTATCCGAGTGAGCCAGATAAGCCAGGTGGGAAGAGACCTCTCTCCAGTGGCCACTTCACCATCTTCCCTTCACGTTGGGACATGCCAAGGGAGAGGTTCGGGTCTGGGGCCCGGGAAGGGATTTGGTCCGAGAGCCACTTATGCGGGCAGGCACAGCAATGGCGGAGCTCCTGCCCACTCTGCCCAGGGTCATGGCCTGCATGGAGGCTACCCAGCATTTTGGGGGTCACCCCCTCATCTCCTGCCTTCAGACAGTCAGTCTCCCTCAGCTCAGGGAGATGGGAGTTTTTCTCTTCTTTCTCCTACTGTTTTTCTTCCTCTTCTCTTTTAATTTTTCTTCTTTTGGCGGGGGGGAAATAAAGAACAATCTTCTGCAAAGGAGATGGATTAATGTGACTGAAAAAAAGAAGACAGAAAAGACCACGAACCAAAAGGTCCCCAGGTGCTGACATACTGAGGCCAGTGACCAGTGACAGGCTCTTCTTCATGTTCCCTGAGGGTAAAATAGGAAGGAATGTGGTTGGTGGCAGGAGAAGCAATAAGAATAAAATATAAGGATGAGCTTTCTGACAGTCAAGATTTTAATCCCTTTGACAAGTGACTCTTGGGATATGGGATCTCTTTTCCATGAAAGGCAGAAGAGTTGTGGAAGGAAAATGAAGGGAAAAAACAAAAAGAGAAACAAAACCAGTGGACTCAGCATCAGAGGACATGGGCCTGAGGCTTGTTCTGGCCTCTTCCTGGCTGGGGGAATAGGCACTGTGAGCCTCATCAGGACCGGATGAGGCAACACGGACCGCTCCCAGCACAGACTCAGGGACTCAGGGTCAGTTTTACCAAGTTGCTTATCATACAGGCCAGCTCCTATGGACAGGAGAATGGGCCAAGCTGACCTCTGCCTGAAGAGCCACTTCATCTAGCAACAAGACTGTCTCCAGGCCACACCTCCCTCAGCCCTCTTTCTTTCTTTCTCTCTCTCTCTCTCTCTCTCTCTCTCCCTCTCTCTCTCTCTCCCTCTCTCTCTCTCTCTCTCTCTCTCTCTCCTCTCTCTCTCTCTCTTCATTGTCTGGATCCAGGCCTCAGGATGCTTGCCTTAGGCCGCCCAGTGGGGCTGGGACTAGGGTGAGGCAGGGGAGGTGCCTAGGCCAAAAGTTAAGGAGGCACTCAACCCTCAGGTTCTGCAAGTACAGGGTCAGCGCCTCAAAGTGAGTGCCTCCTTAAATTTTGTGCCCCGGGGAACTAGCTTGCCTTACCGAGTTTTAGCCCTACAGCTCAGCCCTCTGTCTTTGCTACTATTAGATGTGTTTCTGGACACAAGAAAGAATATAATAGCCCTTGATGAAGCTACAGTCCCCAGGGGGTCATCTGGACTCAATAGTTTTTACGATTCACTTCTTCCTAAGGAGGTGAGAGGAGAGGACAAAGTCAGACCCAAAGCACCCAATCAACAATGCTGTTTGATCCAGGACATAACACTGATTCCCCCTGCCCTGAGCACTCCTGGATGGGGATCCCCACTCAGCAGGTAGGGGCTGGTAGGGGCAGTGGGTAGATGAGAGGCTTCCTTCCCAGGCAGGTAGAGTCTGTGGGAAGTCTGCCATGAGCAAGGCCCTCCAGTGGGCACTCTAGGGAAATAGCAATGAATGATACAGTTCTTTGGGGGAATTTATCATTTAATAGAGAGGGAGGATACCCAGAGAAAGTAACTTTTCAGGCAAAATGCAAATGATTGCAAATAAACATAAAGTGGCATAAACCAAGACTATTCCTGCAGAAGGGAAGTGGAGTGGCGTGACCAGAATCAAGAGTGAATGGGGGAAAGCTTTCTGGGAGGAGCTGAATTTTCTCCACGGTTTACAGTGTTCCTCCAAGTACGGTCTTCGGACCACCTGCATCAGAATCCCTTGGGGAGAAGGTCAAAAATGCAGTTCGTGAGCCCCACTTGAGACTTACTGGGTAAAACCCAGGAGTCTGTATTTTAATCAATTCCCCAAGTGGTTCTTCTGCACACACAGTTTCAGAAACACTAGTTTAGACAGAAAAAAATAGACCCATGGAGTAGCTGCTGGGAAAGACCTTAGGAAAGATCTTTAGACATCCCCATGAGCTCTGAGATCTATGTTGGAATTAATTCAAATATTGGAAATAAGACCACAAAGACTTCCTTCTCTGACAGAAAATAAGAAGGAAAATATAGAGGTCAGAGACAGTACAAAGAGAAAAGAACAGGATTAGGATACATGAAGTCGCAGTTTCTCTGTCCTGTGAACCATTTCTGAAGTGAAATGTTCAGAAATGAATAGAATCTGATTACAAAAGAAGACAATCAACAGAAATAAAAAGGCTGGATTTGGGCAAATATGTTATTCTTACCATATGGGATACCCCATGTGTATTTTATTTGCATGCTCTGGAAATAAATAACCAAGGCTTGATAGTGACATCTGGAAAGATATACGTTGAACACCATGACTCAGCACACACACGTGTTTACATGAAAAAAAAGTATTCATGAAATGTGTCCTGTTTCATTTTCATTTCAACAAAAATTCTTTTTCATTTTTTTTTTTTTTGAGGTGGAGTCTCACTCTGTTGCCCAGGCTGGAGTGCAGCGGCGAGATCTCGACTTACTGCCACCTCTGCCTCCTGGGTTCAAGTGATTCTCCTGCCTCAGCCTCCTGAGTAGCTGGGATTACAGACGGGTGCCACCACACCCAGCTGATTTTTGTATTTTTAGTAGAGATGGGGTTTCACCATGTTGGCCAGGCTGGTCTCCAACTCCTGACCTCGTTATCTACCCGCCTTGGCCTCCCAAAGCTCTGGGATAACAGGAGTGAGCCACCACACCCGGCCTTTTTTCATTTTTTTAAAAAAGTGCTTGCTGCGACCCACTGATGGGTCTCTACCTGCAATTTGAAAACCAATAAAGCAGAAGGGAGGTGTGGGTGATGGGCACTTGGGGACAGAGTCTTCTTGACAGCCTATGATGGGTCTCAGTGAGGTGGGTCAAAAGTCAACTCAAAAGATGCTTGAGAGTCCCTGGGACTGACCTCTCAGGAAGCCTAACTATTTTGTCCTGCCTTCAAGCATCTTCTCAAGATTTTCCTCCTCCAGAAAGACTTTCTAAATCAGCACTCCAAATGGCATTCCAACTTCAGCTCTTAGAGCCCTCTCAAGTGTCCCCCAGTCTTGGTGTATGCGTGGCAGCCCTTAACTGAAAAGTCATGCACTTCGGAGTAGGCCAGATATACTTGCAAGTGGTGCTGGCTGGCTGGTCTGTTTTCAGATGTGCCATGGGGCACAAAACCCTTGTCCCCCAGCTTCAGACCTCTGAGGCCTCCCTTTTTGCCCATACAGGTTCTGAATGGGGGAAGGGTGGTCACTCCAGTCCTTCCCATGGTCCCTTCTACCTAAAGCATTTCCTTCAGGAATCTTCTGAATATGTTAAACAGAAGAGGATTTGGTTATTGCCCAGTTTAACTGTTTTAGATACTCAAATCCAATTTAAGAAATACAGAGTACACTTTGGGAGGCCGAGGTGGGCAGATCACGAGGTCGAGACCAGGCTGGTCAACATGGTGAAACCCCGTCTCTACTAAAAATACAAAAATTAGTTGGACGTGGTGGCAGGTGCCTGTAATCCCAGTTACTTGGGAGGCTGAGGCAAAAGAACTGCTTGAGCCCGGGAGGCGGAGGTTGCAGTGAGCCGAGATCGTGCCACCGCACTCCAGCCTGGGTGACAGAGCAAGACTCCATCTCAGGGAAAAAAAAGAAAAGAAAAAGAAATACAGGGCCGGGTGTGGTGGCTCATACCTGTAATTCCAGCACTTTGGGAGGCTGAGGCGGGTGGATCACTTGAGGTCAGGAGTTCGAGACCAGCCTGGCCTACATAGTGAAACCCCGTTTCTACTAAAAATGCAAAAATTAGCTGGCCGTGGTGGCACGCGCCTGTAGTCCCAGCTATTCGAGAGGCTGAGGCAGGAAAATCGCTTGAAACTGGGAGGTGGAGGTTGTAGTGAACCAAGATCTTGCCACTGTACTCCAGCATGGGTGGCAGAGCGAGACTCCATCTTAAAAAAAAAACAGAGTAGAGGTGTATCATTTATGGTTGATTAAATATGGTGTCTGTGGTGTTTGTGCTTATGCCTATAAAAAGTTGGGCACCGGGACATTGGTGAGGAATGTAATTTTTATGATCACATTGTTTCTGGGCAAAAACAGGTTCAACCTACATCATTTTTACCTGCAGTGCCTTTTCCAGGAATATAACCCAAGATAAATTTGAAGACTCCCTGCAGTTCCACACAGCTCTGCCATCTGCAACGTGTGTCTCTCTGCCTTTGCGGTTTTCTGTGTTCCAAGGGTGTCTGTGGATCCTGGGAGCTCCCTGAGGGCAGGGGTCAGGGAAGATCCCAGTTCTGTGGGGCCGTCTTAAGAAAAAACCCGCAAAATTCCAAATACAAAATTAGGTACAACAGTGATATTTACTTACGGCCAGCAAGAAGATAACAATTTACATGAGCCTTGGACATTCAGGGTCCCTTTCTCCTGACATTTCTTCATTCCATTTACCAGAAATCCTTACATAAAAATGCTTCCTGTTCGTAAACTGGCTTCCCCTCTTCACCTAGGACACTCTACAGTTCCCAGCTTTCATAGCCCACCCTCTCCCCACCATCCTGCAAGTCGAGAAGCCCTAAAACTTGAGCTTCATTCCCTTCACCTCTGCCTCTGCCTCTGCCTTCACTTGTTCTCTAATAGCCCAGAGAACAAGGCTCTGCACATGGGGAGCCCGGGCAGGGGACGGTCAGAGAGCAATGGGCACCCCCAGGCCAGTCTGTCTCACAGTGAGGTCATCCAACCACCTGAATCAGAATCCCCTGGATGGTTTATCTGAAATGCAGACTCTGAGAACTACAGAATCTGACTCTGGGGTAGGACCTCAGCACCTGCATTGGCCCACACTCTCCAGGTGATTCCAAGGTCCACTGCTCTAGTGCCTTACTCTCTGCCTAGTTGGGTCACTGGTGGGGGACAACAGTCCTCATTGACTCCCCAGACCCCACCCCATATCTCCCAAGGAGGCTGAGCAGAGGCTGCACACAACACACAGTGTCGTGTGTGTGGAGGGTCCACTGAGGGACCCTCAGTGACCCATGCCACATCCCAGGCCTCCCTTCTCTGATTCGGCTCATGTGCCAGGCACCAGTAGGAGCCATCCTCTCCTCACAGCCCCCACCACACAAACAGCATCCCCACCAGTTCCATATCCTGACCCCTATATGAGAGAGCCACCTGGAATTGAGCTAAGGATCATTTCTAGCAGCATGTAATCCCTGCATCCCTCTCCCAAGACACTCTGATGTCACGGAGTTCCAGGCTTCCTGGTGGGAAATAATGCATGGCCAAGCCCAGAAATTAAATTTGGAGGGTGAAAGGTCAATAACAGGGCCATTAAATCCTCTGGGTAATTACCTAAGAGCTTCCAAAGGACTGTGAATTGGGGCAGCTTTTCCCAGGAAAGTATGAGACTCAGAATGGCAGCAATGGGAGCAGGGTTGGGAGAAAAATGTCAACCACATACCATGCACCAGCCACTGTGCTCATGCCAGCCATATAGTCCCTGTAACATCTCACAGCAACCTATAAGTATGAATCCATTCCATTATTGCTATCTTCATCCTAAAGAAGTGCTAGGGAGACTTGGCTTGGTGTTTGGACTCTGTCATTTGAGGACCCTGGATTCCCGTCTTAGCTCTGTTACATACTGGTTAGGTAAACACTGAACCTTGTTTTTCTCCTATCACTAGAGTCCTAGTATTGGTCAAATTTTTGATGAGATGATGCATAAATGTGCTAGCACCTTGCCTTGCATGTAGTAGGTGCTCAATAAATGTTAACTGCTATTACTTGAATTAATATCGTTACTCAGGAAAGAATCAGAGCTGGGGAAGTTCAATACTTTGCCTGAAGCAAGACAGAGTAAATGGACAAGTAGAGTTCCAAATCCAAATCTTTCCAGCTCTAAAAGCTACACTCTTTCTCCAATCTCATTGGGTTCTAAGACATTTGGAGTCAGCTCAAGATAAGCCTTCCCCTATTTTCTTCTCACAGCTGATGAAATTCCCTTATGCCTCATCTAGTACATCTCACAGGCTTTGCCACTCAGGATCAACCACTTAGTGAACGTTACTTGCATTTATCCCATTTATTATTTCAATAATCAGTTATTGGACATCTACTATAAAGGACTGGTCTTATCTTATTAAGGTGTAAGACAGTCATAGGCTCCAGAAGCTTACCCTCTGGTTAGGAGATAAGACACTTGAGTATGCATAGTTATTGGGAAGCTGGGGTGCTGACATGAGTGCTCTCTCCGGTCGTGCAGTTGGTAAAGGACTCCTAAAATGTCCTCCTTTTCACCATCATCCTGTCTACATTGACATTGGCCCTTAGACTGGAAAGGTGGCTCCAGTGACTCGACAAGGGACTCAAATGCTCAGGCTAAAAGCTTGGAGTCAAGTTTTGACCCCTTTCAATCAGTCAGTCTTACAGTTCTGCCAAGTCTTCTTTACAAAGGCCCATGCATTTACTCTATTCTCACTGCTCCCCTCCTCCTAGATTCCTGCAACAGCTACCTCAATAGTCTCCCATCCTCCTGCCTCTTTCATCCCAAATCACCTGAGGATGGGTCCACAGATAAACTGCTGAGCCTGGCAATTCGGGCCCTTCATCAGCTGCTCCCACCCTGTATACTCAATGTGGCATTGTCGCACTGTGAAAATGAGGTCTCACATTCTGCCTACAGATTTTGGGCTACTGCCTTAAACGATCTGGGCCTCCATCCCCCGGTCTGTTAAAAGGGGATATTAGTCAACTCAGAGTCTAAGATGACAGAGATGAGAAAAGGCTGGCATCTAATAGTAGCTCTATAATTTTCCTCCCTTGCCCCCTACCCTCCAGACAACCCATTCTACTCTGCTTGTCTCCACTTTCCTGCCTTTGCTGGTCCCCATATTCTCTTCCAGTTCAAATCCTATCCCTCCAACTAGGCTCAGTTGGAGACTCAGCTCCTCCGTTAAACCTTTTGTGAATAATGCTAGTCCATTAAGGTGGTTTCTTTTTGTATTTCTATGGCACTTCCATCGTCTTGAAATATTAAAATTGGTTTCATATAGTTCCAACCTGTCACTCTGAGCTCCTTGAGGCCATTATGCTCCGTAGCAGGGGTGGAGAGTGGGAACATGGGGGTGGTTTAGTGGGAACTTAATATGTGCTCATTCAATATATGAAGGTGAGAATCCCCTCTGTGCATACAGAACTCAGACCTTCAAGCCAACTTCACAAAAGCCACCAGGCATGGCAGTCACCACTGGCTGTACCCTTGGAAAAGACAGGGCCAGAAGCTCAAGCACTGGATGACGGCAGGCAGCCCAGGGAAGCCACTCCTCACAGGACTCCACACCTTGGCCTCCACCTCATCCATTCCCCTGTTGTTGGTTCTGCAGGCTCTGGTCCAGACCCATCAGTAGGGTGTGGCCTGCCATGGAGCCGAGTTTGTGATGTCTGTTCTGAGTGGTCCAGGCTGAAGTCCCCACCAAGGCATGGGTGTTGGGCATTGGGCCTTTGCCCTCCTCTAGTGGCAGTCACCCAGCTTTTCTAAGCCACCAGGCAGCAGCCTAGCACCCACCTTTGGCACCTTCTTACTTTCCTCCCCCAGTCTTCATGATGTCCAGCTGGCAGAGTGGGGAACCCTGAAGCCAAACCCCTAACTGGGCCTGCCAGTTCCTGACTGAAATTGACCTCCTTCATTGAGAGCCAGGACGGAATCTTCCAGAATGCTAGAGCTGCACGGCTCAGGATGCAATGCTGGAAAAGCATGACAACTAAAGGGGTCTTCCACTCCATTCTTTAGGGTGAGAGGTGCCTGGGCCCAGTGACAAATTCTCACCCACCCCACTACATTCCTTAGTCCACTGTTAACTTCGGGAGGGTAGCACCATGCAAAGCAAAAATGTGATCTTAGGTGCATGCTGTGACTGTGAGCTGCACCTGTCCTCACAAAGCTGCTGAATTCCCCATTCGTCTCCTGGCCTTTGCAAGAGGGTCCGAGGCAGTATGAGAGAAGCCAACCCTTCTCTTCCCGGACCCAAGGGCTGTGCCCCTTCTCTCAGCCAAGCCTTGTGTCTCTAGGCACAAGGACAGCTCAAGCGTTAGCGTCTGGCCCCACCCAACTCCTTCCTCCCGGGTGTGTGTGCGTTAGGTAGAGGGGGCCTCTGGCCACTCAGGAGTTAAAATGGCAGCGGGACTGGAGGGGGTTGGCGTGGCATGCAGACTGGGAGGAGGCGACCGGAGTGGGCTGGGGAGGTTGGGAGAGCGGCGGAGAAGCGAGTGAGGAGGGCGAGCGCGAAGCCGGGAAGAGGGGCGCGCGTGGAGGGGGTGCCGGGCGCCGCGAGGGCCTGCTCCGGGCACCTGCGAACGCGCGGCGCTCTCAAGGAGCGCCTGGCTCTCGCCCGCCAGCCTCCGGCCGCGACGCGCCCAGGGCGCGGAGAGGGGGTGGGGACGGATTGGGATTCTGCCATCGCCCTCACCGGCTGGGCCCTGGAGCCGCTCCCAGGATAACTCCACGTTGGGGAGGGCGCCCGCCGAGCCTCCCCGGCCTGTGCAGACGGCGCGCGCGGCGGGAGGGCGCGGACCAGCGTCCCCAGCCCGGCCCCGGGCGGAAGGCGAGCGGAGCGCGGCCGCGCGGGCAGCAGACGGCAGACGGTGCCCGGCGCCCACGGGGTGAGTGTGCAGCTTCGGGGCTGACCTGGGCAGCGCCGCCGCCGCCGGGGAATCGTGGACACCGAGGTCGCTGGCGTGGCCGAGGCGTACGCGGCGGGAGCGGCCGGAGCAGCCGCCTCAGGGCTCCTGGCTCCTGCCCCGGCACCGCAGCTCCGCCTGACCCGGGTGGGGGCCAGAGGAGGGCCGGCCGCTGCCTTCCGCCGAGACGCCTGCGGGGGAGCCGGAGACTTGGGAGAGGGAGGCGGCCGAGGGGCAGAGGGACGGAGGGCTGGAGAATGCCCAGAAGCGGCCAGGGAGAGGGCGCCTGGGCCTTCGCCTGGAGAGGCCAGAACCTCCCCCAAACTGTTGCTGGGTAGAGTGGGGCCCTGGAGATGTGGAGGAGCCGAGAGGTGGCAGTGAGGTTAGGGAGGGCGTGACACGGGCGGACTGGCAGGCTGGAAGCGCTCCAGAGCCTGGGGACTTTCTCCTCCTTGGAGCTCGCGAGTCTGTGCGGAGGGACAAGGTGGCCTTGGGTCTGTCTGAAGTATCTGGAACCAGGAGCTAGGCTCCTCCCGGGCCGGCTGGCTGGGGTCCGACCGCAGCCTGGGATGGGACCTTTGGGGTGGGGGATGGGCCGGCCTGGGGCTCAGCCTGGGGACTCGGTCAGGGGGAAGCGGAAACGGAAGGGTGGCTCTGAGCCCACCGCAGGACCCAGGAGACAGGATGGGCTGGCCAGCCACAGGTGGGCCGTCTGTCCTGCTGGCAAAGGGTGGCGCAGGCTCTGGCTGCCCAGCCGGCGAGGAGCCGCGGGGTGAGGGAACTGAGCTCCATCTGGGGCCGAGCGGAGAAGCTAAAGAGGTGCAGGAGACCCGGAACCTGGGGAGGGGCCCCGGGGGTAGCACTGTGCTCCCTACCCTTCCTCCCCCACCCAAACGAACAGGAAGGAAAATGTCAGCTGGGCTTTGTGCTCTGTTCCTCAGGCTGCCGCAGCTCCCATCTGTTGGAGCCAACGCAGCTTCTAACTGGGCGACTGGCAGGGTTGGAGGGGGTGGGCTGGGCACAGCGCTCAGTTGCCAGAGATGGACTGACAGGCCCTCTGCTTGAGAACTCCAGGACCTAGGGTGGTGAGGAGAACAGCCTCCCTAGGTCAGGGCAGTAGAGGTGACTCCCTGCCAGTTTGGTCACTGTCATAGGGGAAGATGTAGGTCTCCCCATGCACCCAGGCCGATGGCAGGCTCCGTGCCCCCCTTTCCCGCCAGTCTAGGATGGGCTCTGGCCCAGCGTTTTGTCCCTGAATAAGAAGGCCAGGAGCTCCTCCCATTGCCCACTGCTTCTTAAAGATCCCTTCAAAAAAGAGCACTGGGCATGGAGGGTAGAGGTGGGCTCTGCACTGGGCACTGGAGCCCCCTTGCCTTTGGGCCCTGTGGCTACCAGAAAAAGCCACATGTGGGTGGCCTGACCCACTTTCCTGGCCAGGTGCTGTTGTGGCGAAACGATGGAAACAGAAGGGCAGAGCTAGGGATCTGAGCCTCCTAGGCCTTCTTCCTTCCCCTGTGCTGACTCAGGCTTCTCCTTCTTGCGGAGGGCTCTCTCTGGTCCTGGGATGGGTCCTCATTATTTGCAAAGCATGGAACTAAAGGCCTCAGTGCCTGGGAGATTGAGGTCTGCCCAGGGTCTGGCACCTAGGAACACCCCCAAATCCACACCCTCTCCCTAATGCAGTCTCCTCCCGGGGAAACACCGAGTGGCAGTAAGATCTCAGAGATCTGCTAATTCCATCCAGGCTAGTACAGCAGGTTCCCTCTCTAATTCAACACAGTTCTTCCTCACTTCCCATCCTATTTTCCCTGTGCCTCCCCTCTTCCTCCTCCCCCTCATCCTCCTCTCCTTCCTTCACTCTTCACTTTCCTCCTCTAACACTCTTCACTTCCCTTTTCCCCCTCACACTGCTCTTCCTCTTCTCTCACCCTCCTCATTCTTCCCCAGATATCTCCCTTTCTTCCCAGGCTCTGTCTCCACTTTGCCCTGCTTCTCCTGTAAACTGCAGCTTAAACCGTAAGCCAGGCGTGCACGCACTCCTGCTCATCCTGCCAGTGGGAGCACATGCACTGTTGACTTTGCTGCATCCCTTTTGCAGAGGAGCCTGGGCTGGTGGGCCTGGCAGCTGCATTTGCCTGGCCCTGGTGTCCCTTGAACCCTGTCATTTACTCACCTCCCCCTTCTACTCCCCACACCCTTATGTCGTTTATTTGAAAGGAAAAGGAAACTCCATGGCTTTTAAAAAAATGTATTCATTCAACAACTGTTTCTTGAGTGCCTACTGTGTGCCTCTCATGATTTTAGAAGCTGAAGATACAGCGGTAAACAAACCTCCATGTCTCAAGCTGACCACACTTGTATCTGGACTTGCCAGCTGATTAGCTCTGTTCCCACCAGGCTCGTTCAAAGACCCACAGCTTGAGGGGGCAGAGGTGAGGAACATGAACAATGCTAGTGAATTATCACACTGAGTGACCTCTAACATGCCAGGTACCGCTTAAGTCATCCTGTCCTTAGGATACTTTTCTGACCTGAAAGGATGGACCAGGTCACATCTCACCATTTATCTGGCAGCCCAGGGCAAGTAGAAGGCTGGTGCTTCAGACAGAGAAGGGGGAAGGAATCAAATTTATTATTGAATACCTATTATGCACCAGTCTATGTGAGGAACATTACAAAAGTTATTCTGTTCAGTCGTGCTGACAACCTTCTAATGTCTGCATTACCATCCCCTGTTTCCTAGCCAAGGAAATTGAGGCCTGGAGAGGAGAAACCACTTGCTCCGGGTCATATAGATCTCCATTTTGAAATCACTTGTATCTGCAGTTGATTTGGCCCTATGATATCTGTGACATCTGGTAACTTGTACACTTATACTAAGGCTTACATTCTAACCTAACTTTTCATGGGGCCTTATCTCCCAGTTAGACTATTAATATGTATAAGGATTTGCTGAACGGTTGTGTGAATAAGCTTTCTTAAGTGATCAAGGAAGGCTTCCTGAAGGAACTGGGACCCTGAATGAGGAGGCAGGGAGGGCAATGACTTTTCCTGTGTCATCCTACACAGGTATGTGACAACTTGTAGGCAGGAAGTCCCTCATCCCACACCCCACCTGCATTCAGGTAGAATTGACTCAGGGTCAGGATATAGAAGCTTGATCTATGGCCCATCTAATGAATAAATGTCACTTGTGTTCTTAATCTATATGGCTTGGACTCTTTATAAAAGCTCCAAGATAAAGGATGGGGACTAGAAGCTTTCAAGCCTACAAGGACTCCAGGGAAGGACAAGGACCATAGTTGGAGGCTTGAATGGGGCAGGAATGGGGAGAGTGACCAAGGAACAGAAGAGAAGGAAGACAAAGGCAGAAGATAAACTGAGAAACAAAAAACACTTTTGACAAAAATGAAGTAGCTAAAAAAGACAACAAAACAAAACCGAAGACAAGAGATATGCAAAAAAGACAGCAGCATGTGATTAGATTGCTGAAAGGACGAGTCAGAAAGATGCCTTTATCTGTTACTTTCCAGTGCGGGGCCTGGGTCTCCGTGGCCTACAGCTCAGAGGCTGAAATTTCACCAAGTTAGCCTCAATCAGGCATTTGCTTATTCAGTCAACCCATCTTTTCTAAGTACCTACTGTGTGCCTGGCTCTGTGCTAGGTGCAGGGGACAAAGAGACAGATCAGATGTCCCTGCCTTCAAGGAGTTCACCGTCAGAGTAGAGATTCTAGAGCCACACAGCTGGAGTTCAAATCCAGGCTTCACCACTTCTAGCTGGGTGACATTGAGCAGGTCACGTAACCTCTCTTCGTCTCAGTTTCCTCATCTATAAATGGGATAATAAAAGTACCTACTTCATAAAGCTGTCATGAGGACTACATGAGGTGATACATGTAATGAGCTTAGAACAGTATCTGGTATATATATAGTAAGTGCTATGTAAGTAATATTATTATTGTTATTATTATTAGATGGGGGAGTCAGTCCCATAGACAATAATGAAACAAGTGTTGGACTATAGGGATAAGCAGATAAAAAGGCGACTCTCAGCCAGGCTTGGTGGTTCACACCTGTAATCCTAGGGAGGCCAAGGCGGGTGGATCACATGAGGTCAGGAGTTCAAGACCAGCCTGGCCAAAATGGTGAAACCCCATCTCTGCTAAAAATACAAAGATTAGCCGGGCGTGGTGGCACACACCTGTAATCCCAGCTACTTGGGAGGCTGAGGCGGGAGAATCACTTGAACCCAGGTGGCGGAGATTGTAGTGAGCTGAGATTACACCACTGCACTCTAGCCTGAGCAACAGAGCAAGACTCTGTCTTTAAAAAAAAAAAAAAAGTGACTCTCTGTTTGCTGTTTGCGGATTAGGAAAGGGTTGCCAAATGATGTGATATTTGAACCAAGGCTTGAAAAAGAGTCAACCAGGCAGAGATGGTGGGTCTGGGGACACAGGTGATGAGGGTATTTGGGGCACAGGTATCGTGCATGAAAAGATACCAGGGTGTGTATGTGTTCATTGCTCTTTGTGAATGTCACCATCACCGCTGACACGTCCCTCTCAGCCTCTTTTTCTCCAGAGCTGGGAGCTGGGCTTCCAGTGGGGCTGGCTGGTCGCCCAGAACATTCCCACATGTCTTGGTGCAGGGGACCTGGTGCATCCCTGCTGGGGGTTAGCCTCATGACCTTGGGCTCCTGCACGTTCTAAGCCCGCATCAAGCAGACTCTGCTCCAAACCCAGAGCTGCTAGGCCTTGCACTCTGCCTTCTGGCACTTCTTAGGGACCTGGGAGACGCCTTGGCCTGAGGGGGCTGCCTTTTAGGAGGTGAGTTTAACCAGGTTTGGTTTGGAATTCGTTTTTTTCTGTGTGTTTCTTGCACCCACACCTTCCCTGCTACTCAGCATTTGATGGACCTGAAGCGAGTTCCAAGATAAAGTGCAGACAGAGGGTTCCTGGGGCAATAACTGTTTCTCAGCTTCTACCTCTCACGTGGTAACAACACTAATTATGATACCCAGCATTTATTGAGCATTTACTGTGTGCCAGGCACTGTGCCAACTGCTTTACCTGCATTATCCCATTAAGCTTTCAAAAGTACCCCTATTAGATAGGTAGTTAACTCTCATTATCCCTAACCTAAAAAGCCAAGAAACAGACTCAGACTTGCTCAAGGACATATAGCTAGGAAAGATCCAAGGGAGGGAGTTAGCCCTTCTCTCTGACTTTAGGACTCCTCCTGCTTCTTCACCACCCCGGAATCTGGTGTTCCTTGGGCCTGGAGGGTGCTCTGGGACATCCAGCCCATTCTCCTCCTTCCCTCCCTCCAGGAAGAAAGTCCCCTAAGCCAGCCCTGCCCAAGCCAGTGGCTGCCTGTCTCCTTTTCGGGATCTTCAGAGAGGGTCTCTGTGACCTTTTTTTTCCTCCTGCTCCTGCAGGGTGTGATATTTAAGATCCAACATTGTTTCCTTCTGTCTCAGCTAAGTGCCTCGGGGCCACATGGAGCCACTATCCTCAGAGAAGCTGGACCTTAAGAGTCAGTGCCCATGGACACATGGTGGGAACCAATGCAAGGGTGGCTTGCTGGGAGACGTGAGAATGGGGCCTAGACTCCAGATAAGGTGGAGAGAGATGGGGAAGGCTTGGGATTTGTGCTGTCAGTGGGATAGCTCTAACAAGGCAGACTCGTGTATTTCAGGAAGAACAGGTACAATTGTTCCTATTTACAAACATCTCACAAGGCAGCTTCTTCAGGGAAAAACATATGGAAGAAGGGGGCAGGGCAGTGATTATTAGCAACCAGCCTGGGTTCCCCAGGAAGAATGGGTCTGTCCTATCTGATCTTTTCAGGGGGAAGGAAAAAGGAGGAAGAGAAAAGAAAGGCAGCAAAGGTTACTTTGCTCTCTAAAATGTTCTCAAAATAAGCATTCAAACGTGGTCGATGAAAGTATCTGTCTTTGGCTTGGGAGGGCAGAGGTGGTGATGCCCAGAAGGGGGAATGACCACAGAGGGCCAGCTGGTGGGAAGTGAGACATTTAAAAGCTGTGTAGGAGGAAAGAGAGAATTTGACACTTCACCCTGCCTGGCTGTCACCACTCCTCTTCCCCTGCCTTCTGCTGGGGCTCAGACAGCTTCAGGCCTCGAGCCTGAGAAAGTGCCTGCCCAGAATTGGGCCCAGGGGTTGAATGGTGGAATCTACATTGCGAGGGGACCTGCAGAATCATCCTGTCCACTGCCCATCTCGAGCGCCACCAGGCCTCAGCCATCTCAGACATGGGATGGGGCTGGAGTCTCTTCGTTCAGCAAGTATTTGTGAGGCATGTAGCCAGGCACTGAGGGCAGACAGCAGTGAATGACCAGACAGACCTCTGCCCTTCAGGAGCTTTTAGTTTATTGTCTGGGGATGCAGTAAAATAGACTCATAAAGGAAATGGCACATTGGAGGCTGGTAAGTGCTAAAGAGAAAAAACAGGGAAGGGAAATGGAAGAGTCAGTTGGGAGAGGGGGAGTTTGTTATCTTGTGCAGGGTGGCTACAGAGACCTCACTGAGAAGGTGATATCTGAGGAGAGATGAGGGGGTGGCACCACAGTCGGGGCAAGCTGGGCAGAGGGGACAGCAGGTGCAAGGGCAGGGATGCAGGGCTGTGCCTGGAGAGTCAGAGGCGGCGTGGAGGCTGGCGTGGCTGGAGTGTGGTGAGGGCAGAGAGTTGCAGGAGATAAAGTCAGAGGGTCAGGAGGAGGTTAGCTCTAGGAGAGGTCTGGAGCTGGTGAGGAGGGGGATTTTTTCCTCAGAGTAAGATGGGCTCTTGCAGGGTTGGAGCCTGGGGCGGCATGATTTGACTTTTTAACACCACTGGTCGTTGGCCATCCATTCCAGCTTTTCCCTCAGCGGCTAGTCAGGAAGTGCTGCCTGGTTGCCCTCTGCAGCCATTGGAGCTGTTTCAGCCAATCAGTACATCCCCACCAAGGATGCTCTGAGCACTGTCCTAGGCAGTGTGGGGTGTGAGGTTGGGAAGGAAATAAAAAAGCACAGGACACAGTCTTTACTGGTAAGGAAACCTACTGATCAGCTGGGGAGGCAGAACTTACACTCACAAGAAATAATGAGGGAATAATACCAGACAGTATTTAAAACCGAGTGCTAAACTGTGTGATTTAGACTATAAATGTTATCAGAACTGTGAGCTCTGTGTGGGAGTTATATAGGGAACGCTTCCTCAGGGGGGCGCGGCTGATTTAGGCTTGGAAAATGGAGTAGATTCGACTCTGCAGTGGGAAGGATTCTCGCACGGAGAACTTGGAGCTGGCAGGGTGAGAGGAGAGAAGGGTGGTGCTGCTGGAGGGGAGGTCACTGAGTGGGAGTAAGGCAGCCCACGTGGCAACGTGCAAGGGCAGGGTCTTCTGTCTCTGAGCAGTCCCTGCCTCCCACCTGGGTTTCCAATGCCCCCTGTACTCTTTCCAGAGACACGGAAAGCCACCCTTTCCAGAAGGAAATCCATTATCCAGTGTCCTTGCCCTCTCCTGCCCGAGACCAGATGATCTCTGATCTTGGAAGTCCTCTGGCTTCATGGAGTCCCATTTCCAGCTCCGGCCGTTGTCCCAGGTCTGCATGCTGGGAATCTCGGCCTCTTAGTTCACTGGTGTCTGGAGCCATGTTCTCTGGAATTCCCTTAGGCTCCATGTATCTACCCAGGCTGCAGCAGCTTCTCTTCTCCCTTCCTTTCACTGCCTGGGTGGGCTCCTGTTTGGTAGGTTACTCCTATAACATTCCTGGTCGTTTCAGATATTGTGAACTGGAAATAAAATTGCACCAAAATGAGCAAACTTCCACCCCCATGAGGGGTGAGTGTGTCCTCTCCCTGGATCTTGGGGATATGAACTCACCTCTGAAGTATAGAGAGAGATCACCAGAGTGGAGTAGACTAGGATCCATTGGTAGTGCCCTCACCCACCCAAGACATGGGGGGCGATGCTCTCCTCCCTGCCCCCAGCCCCCATGAGAAAGGGGGGCACACCCGCTGTACCCCAGCACAACCCCCTGGAAGACGCAGAGGCTGACCCTGGGGCTTTTGTCCTTATGGCTTACAATCCAGAGGAAGTGGAATCAGTTGGCATTGGGTCAGAATTCACAGTCCCTAGCCACCTGCCCTTGGGCATCTTAACCTTTCCGAGCCTCAGTTTCCTCATCTGTAAATCTGAGTTAATAACATCCACTTCCTAGGGTTGTTAATAATAATAAGAGCTAACGTTATTGAGTGCTTATGAGGTGCCAGAAGCTTCACTGCATTTGTCTCATTTCGTCCACATAACGCTGTGAAGTAGATATTATTTTCCCCCATTTTGCAGTTGAGGAAACTAAAGCCTGGAGGCCATGCACAGCCAGCAAGTGGCAGAGCCAGAATTCAGCCCCCAAATCTTTCTGACTCCAGAGCCCTGATTCTCAACTACCACATTAAATGAGCTAATCTGTGTAAAGTACCTGCTACAAAGTAGAAGCTCAATAAATGTTAGTTCCTTTTCTCAATTTCCCCAGGGCCACTCCTCTAGAGAATAGGGTTCTCCTACCTCATCACATTTCTTTTCCGGGATCCCCTGGGACATATGATAGAAGTGGGAATGGGAATGAGCTGCCAGTTTATACCGAGGGAAGAAAATAAGGCTAAGAGAGGTGAGTAATTTGCATAAAATCATAAAACACCGGGGCTGTGATTAATGCCCAGGGCACCTTGCTCATAGAAGTTATTGAGCCCCACTGGGTCCCAAGCAGTTGGCAGAGGGTGTCTTGCAGAGATGAGAACAGAGGTTATGCTGTATGGAAGAATGAGAGGCCATCATCTCCCCCAGGGTCAAGAAAGAGCCTGTCTCACCTGCAGAGGCGAGAGTTGATCATTATGGGCCTGGAAAGTTGCTAGCAGAAGCAGTACAAAGCTCAGAAAGGTCTAAGATCCTATGTTTTCTGAGCTTAGCTACTGTATCTAGAGTTTGTTCTAAACAATCTGGGACTGTTCATGAATCTTGGAAGAGGACAGTGTTGAAGGTCAAAGTGTGGAAAGACAAGATGCTATCTCACCTTTATGACTGTTAGATTGGCATGCCTTTTGCAACAGGTAAAGTGTGCATGGGTGGGTACACACACACACACACACACACACACACACACACGGCTCCATGTAACCTTGCATGGAAATAAAAATGAGCAGACAACTGCAGGGTCATCTGAATTTCAGGGTATATAGGGAATGGAGGTGAAGGAGCTGAGACAGGGCCATTCCCCTAAAACAGTCCTCATTCTTTCCTCCCCGGAGACCTCTTTTCTGGTGGGCATAGAGACCCATCTCTCTGCACAGCCCACAAAACAGCCTAAGCCTGCCAACATTCACCTCTGATGGGCAGACCCAGAGTTCCTCTGCATATCCCCCATGGAGAAAAGGAGAAGAGCTTAGGTCATAGTGCATCAGAACTGATGGCAACAGGAAGCGCTCTGGTTCTGTGGCTTTCAAACATTTACAGAAGTTAATCCATTTTTCAATGTATGGTAGGCAGAATAATGGGCCCCCTAAGATGTCCATATACTAATCCCTAGAACCTGTGAATATGTTATGTTCCATGACAAGGGAGAAAGAAGATTGCTGATATCTGGCTTAAGAATAAATTATCCTGGATTATCTGGGTGGGCCCAGTGTAATCACATGGGTCCTTTAAAGGTGGAAGAAGGAGGCAGAAGTCAGCATCTGGGTAATGCCATGTGTGAAAGGCTGGACCTGCCAGTGCTGGTGTTGAAGATGGAAGGGGCCATGGGCCAGGGCCTGTGGGCAGCCTCTAGATTCCTGTCTAAGAAGCTGGGAAAGTCCAGGAAACAGAGTCTCTCCTCCAGCCTCCAGAAAGAAACACAACCCTACCGACACCTAGCTTGAAGCCGGGGAGACCCATTTTGGACTTCTGGCCTCCAGAACTGTAAGAGAATACATCTGTGTTGTTTATAGCCACTAAGTTTGTGGTCCTTTGCTCACAGCAGCATCAGGAAACTAAATACAAGGCAAAAGCCAAGCGGTGGACCAGAACCCAGTTGGCCTCCTTCTGACCTCCCAGCCACCCCGGAGGGATTGCTTCAGAACTCGGTGGCTCCGAGAAGCCTGGTTTGAAATACAGCGTGTCTGAAATGCAACCTGCTAATTCTCCAGACAATGAAATCGAGGCCCAGGAAGGAGTGGTTTTGTGTGAGGTCATGCTGAGTTAGTGGATGAGCCGGGACTGCAACCCACGGTCCACTCCTGTTTTGTCAGAAATCCCAGATGCTTACATGAATTCTCTCATGAACTCGTCCGTTACAACAATTGTATGTGTATATTTTTACATTTTCAACAAACGTGTGCATATAAAGGCCCAAGCACTGTGCTAAGAACTGGGCAGAGGCGACGTGAGCACTGGCGCAGGAAGATGAGCAGCTCTGAGTTCCAGTCCTGACCTCAGCCCCTTCCTGGGCCTCAGCTTTCTCCAAACATCCGCAGCCAGCCCAGGTTGCTCAGATCTGTCCGTGTTCTTTGTCCTGGAACTGGTCACCAGGTGGGCTTTCTCACAGCCACCTGCTCTGAGTGGAGACACAGCTCTGGGAAAGGAGAGGACCCAGCCCACTGGCCCAGGCTGCACCTGCCCTCGTGAAGCTTATGCAGCATTTATCACCCATAACAAGCTGCAGGTGGGCAGGACCCAGGGCTGTGGGAGGGAAGGGAGAGGAGAAGCAGGCAGAGGCAGATCCTTGCCTAAAATCAGTGCCCCAGTAGTGCGTATACCCTCTGCCAGGCATTTTGACCTTCCCAGCTCTCCCTGAAACACACCTGAGCCACCGGCCGGCCCCCAGGGCTGCCAGCTCCCCGGTGTTGGTCTCCATGGCAACCTCACATTTGCCGTTCTGGTTTCTAATGACTTATTGGCATGTGTGGTAATTTGCAGAGCTTGGCAGGAAGAGCTGGGAGAGTAGTGAGGAGGGGAGGGGAGGGGAGGCAGTGAGGGGGACTTGGCAGTTGGTGGTGGGGGGTGGGTCAGATTTTGGATGGGGACAGAGGCACACTTATCCTGCCCCACCCTTCCTAGTCCCTGCTGAGTAACATCCAAAGTAAGGGAGCTGCTTCAGGTCCAGGGCCTCCCCTCCCTGAGGAGTATTGGCTCTCTGCAGGCCCCTGAGAGGGAGACAGATGGACAGACAGATATGGTGCACAGCTGCTCACCTGTCAGGCAGATTTGGGCAGGCATGGGGGGCTGACAGCCGCATTCAAACGTGGCAGGTCAGACCACTCATGTTTTCCACCACTCTCCTATCTGTTTCCTGGGCCCTGAGAACAAAAGGGTACCTGGGCCCAGGAGTCACTTGGTCCTGTGGGGAGAGGGGTGGGAGTAGAGTATCCAAGGACAGATCCTTGCTGCTTCTAGGCCTCTCACACACTCAAAGAACCAAGCAGGGCAGCCCTAAATGAAATGCCAGATCACTTGGGTAGTGGGGAAAAGCAGGGAGGGGGAGAACCAGCCTAGCAATCACAGGGGCTGAGAGGAGCAGGGGCCAGACCCCTCTCCACTTTTCTTCGGCAAAGCTTAGCCAACCTCAGAACGATTTCCCCAGGGCAAGGCAGTGGGAAGCCTCAGGTTTACTGTGTGGCTGCAGTCTTCCTGCATACAACTTTGCTGCCTCTGTCTCTTTCGGTCACTCTTGATGCTGCAATCTGTTGTGCGTTTGTGGGAAGCAGCCTGATGTGCTGAAGAGAGCACCTTCTTGAAAGTTGGATCCATCTGGGTTAGAATCCTGTGGCTTCTGCTTCCCAGCTCTATGACCCTGGACGTGTCTCAGTCTCTCATTGAGCCTCATTTCACTTATCTATAAAATGGGTTTAACACACCCAGTTCACAGGGTTGTGAAAATGAAACCAGCTCATGCTTGTAAAATGCTTGGCACACAGTAGGTACCAATAAATATTAAAGAACTTAAAAAGTCATCTTTTAATTATCTACCCAAATAAACAGGAATAATGTGATGGATAATTTAAAGAATTCTGATAGACTTGGTAGGGTATTGTTTTTTAAATATTTGAGAATAGTCTTCATTTAGTTCAGTAAATGTTTATTGAACATCTACTGTGCACAAAGTACAGGGCCAAGTGGGTCTTTCCTGGTGTTTTATGATTAGGGTGAATTTAAGTTGCTGGTGCATTCTCTAAGCATATATCATCTGACAGAGGGAGAGGGAGGGCCCTTCGGAAGGCTAGTAGCAGAGAGGGGGTGGCCCTCGGTCAACCATGTATGTGGATCTTACGTGGATCTCTGAGAAGTGGCTGGCCCTAAGAGAAAGATCTGCATTGTGAAGGCTCTGTCTGGATGGTGTGCAGTGAGATATGCTGCCCAGCTTCTGAGAAATGGTGAGTCTGTTTTTAGAGCTGGATGAAGCGGATGATTGATGGAACTAGTGGGTGGTCGCTCCTTCACTTTCACAAGCTGCTACTGAGGCTTGAGGGGGCCGGTGACCACCCAACTATCAGCTGGAAGAGGAGCAAGGTGCACCTGCTCTCACCTGGGCATCTGAGCAGATCACAGCTCCCTCAACTAGTGCTGGGAGGGAGGGAAGGAGAGCAAGAGGGAGCTAGGAAACTTGGCTTCTATCTCTGCCAGCAGATGGACTTCTGCCTGCAGCAGGAGTCTGTCTGTTCTTCTATCAGCCTCCATGCAGCCTCCTCCAAGACGGCGCGACAGAGATGTGCAAACAGAACGTCAGAGATAGCTGGGGCCCTGGAGAGCATCTGTCCCACTGCTTTCTCACTGTCCTCATTCACATTATAGCACAGAAACACAGTGATAATGGCTCAGGGACCCCAATTGACCCAAGGGCTAAAGGGTCATGATCTCAGCACACCTGTACCCATTTGTTGCTCCCTAGCCCCACTTGGGGAGCCCTATCTTAGCCGGTCCTCCCGATCTATTTTTAATCTATGAGAAACTTAAGCAATGGGGAGGGGGAAGGACTTGAGATCACATAGCGTATTAGTGCCCTTGGGACTAGACAGAAAGCTCCTAACTTCTGGCTTTGTGCTATACCTACTACCTCTTCTCAAGACTCCTTCTTCCACTGATTTTCCTGATCTTTCACCCTGGAGGGGCTACTTCATGTGCAAGAGAATGTAATGTCTCTAAGACACGATTATTCCCCAAATCTCGCAAAATAAGGCGACATCCTCCCCACTCACCTTTATTCTCACTAGCCACCCTCTTCATTCAGGGAAGCCTTTGGCGTGTGCCCATAGACCTTCTCCCTTTCCAACTGTATGTCTGTCCATCATCCTGGGTGAGATTAGTGACGATGTGGACAGCTTCTTCTACCCCAGACCCAACAGTCCCTTCACGGGCTCACCTATCTCAGCCACTCACTTGCAAGTTCACACTCTGTATCTTGCCATCCCCTGAAAATTACCTAGCAGAGTACCCAACTTTCTGGTCATCACCTTCTACACCTTTTAGTTTCCCAGCTTGCTTGTCCAAGGACTCCCACACCACCACTTATTTTTTAGCCAGTCAAATTTAGCAGTGGGAGGGTTCTATGACACCCCCACTCTTTAATCTCTTTGGGAACTTTGCTCCATTGGCACCTTTGCTTTTTTTTTTTTTTTTTTTTTTTTTTTTACCATCAATTACCTTCCTCTGCCTTCCCTTCTCTGAGTCCAGATAGAGGCCATGGTCCATCATTTTTAAGAATCCTCCTGCCAATATCCTAAACTCTCTTGAGCCTCTGTCTTTTTATTGTCCTAGTTTGACCAAGTCCCTGTTCTGGATTAATTGCTTTATCTGCTTCTTTCTACCTGCATTCAGGAATCTGGACCCGCTGGGACACACACACACACACACACACACACACACACACAAACACACAAACAGATTGCTACTTCTACAAACTCACCATCACCAACCCAGCTTGCTCTTCAAAAGTGCCTGGTGTTCCTACCACGTTCCTCTGGTTCTGTCTCCCCTCAGTCTCCACAATGACTATTTCACACCTTCCTCCCCAAACCTCTGCCTCCACCCTCATGCTCAGCTGAGGACCTCACCTCCCACTTCACAGAGAAAGAGAAGTCACCAGGCAGAACTCCCCAACTTATCCCCACCAAACCCCCAAACTACCTGCCTCTGGGCCAGTCCTCTCCTCCTTCCCTCCTGTGTCTGCAGAGGCCACAGCATGGCCATCACAGGCCAGTTCTTCCACCACCCATGTTCTAGGTCCTCTCCTCTGCCTTCTCAGAAACAGCCTTCTCACCATGCTCAAGTTTCTCATGTCTTCAACAAGCAAAACAACAACAAAAACCTTCCTGAAGCCCGACTCCACTTGCTGCCACCACACTGTCTCTCTTCTCCGTACAAGCCAAATGTCTGAAAGGGTTGGCTGCAACAGCATTCTCCATCTCTGTGCTACCCACTCCTTCCCCAGCCCTGCTTCAGTCTGGCTTCCTCCCCCATCACTCTGCTGAAGCAGCTCTCCAGATTGCTAAAGCCAGGGAACATTTTTTAGTTCTCAGAAGCATTTTCCACTCATTTTTTTTTTTGACACTTTCTTTTCCCTTGGCTTCTCTGACCCCACATTCTTGGCTTCTCTGGTACTCCTGAGTCGTCTTTGCTGACTCATCCTTCCCGTCTTGATCTTTAAATGTTGGTGTTCCTTATGGTCTGGCTCAAGGTATTCTCTTCTGATTGGATACTCTGTCCCTGGGCCATCTCAGCCACACGAACGGCTTCCGTTGTCATCCACATGCAGATGACACCCAGCTTCCTAGTTGGTGTCTTTTCTTCTGAGCCCCATATCCTTATATTCACCTGCCTAGCTGACTAAGCTGGATGTCTCAAGAAACCTCAGACTTGACATACTGAAAGCCAGAGTCGTGATTCTCCTGCTACATCTCCCACTGCCTTCTCACCCGCTGCCTGATCCTCCTCCAGTGCTGCCTGTTTTGTGAATGGCATAACCTCAAACCTCAGTTCTGCACGCCATCAACTGGGAGTCACTGTCAGCTCTTCCCTTTTCTCTACCGCCTTACATCCAGCCCATCACCAGGCCCTGTCTACCTCCTAAACAGCACCTGGGTCCATCCACTCCACTCCTCCCCATCTCCACAGCCTCCACACTAGTTCAGGCTGACTTTGCCTTTTCCTCAGGCTGCTGGAATCACCTTCTCATTGGTATGGCTGTATCCACTCTTGCATCTCCAATTGTCAGAGAAGCCAAGGGAAAAGAAAGTGTCAGAAAAAAACAAACAAACAAAAAAAAAAACGAGTGGAAATGCTTCTGAGAACTAAAAAATGTTCCCTGGCTTTGGTAACTGGGTCTCTGAATTGCTGCTGGACTGACCTTTTAAGGACACAAATCTGACCTAGTCACATTATGTTGTACTCTCAACACTCTTAAGTGATTCCCATGCTCTTTAGGATGGCCAGTGGGATGGTCCCTTGTGGTATCTGACCTGTGCCTGCACTGAGGCATCCCCACTCCCCTCCCTCATGCTCTGCACTCTGCACCCTGGCCTTTTTCAGCTCTGACTGCTGAGCTCCTTTTGGCCTCATGGCCTTCACACGTGCTGTTTCCTGGCCCTTAATCACTCTTCCCATCCCTTCCTTCTCCTCCCTAAATACTAGCTATCCTGCAGATCTCAGCTCAAGTAGCCCTTCCTTAGAAAAGCATCCCTGTACCTTCAGAATTTTACCAGGCCCCAGTTAAACACTCTCACAATGTCCTGTATGCTTTCTTCATAACACACATGATGATATCTAATTATACAGTTAGGGCTTATTAGAGAAATGTCCATCTATGCCACTAGGCTGTGACTCTATGAGGGTAGAGACCCTATCTGTTGTATTATTGTATCATTGGTGTCTGGCACAGATTTGGCTTCAGAAAATCTTGGGATAGTGAATTCATCCATGAGAGGTCTTTAAATACAAAAAGGATCCATGAAAAAGTCCGAAAGGAAAGCTATTCCTTGTGTGTGGCATTGGTAGACCAGAAGACCATACTCCTGCTCCCTTCCCTTCCCTGTCTTTCCCCAACCAAAGATTCAAAAGTCATTCACTTTGAGTTTCCAGTGTAGGCTCCTCCTCACCAATAGATTTTTCAGGAACAATAGCATTAATCTTTCACGTGTGAAAAGCTATTTACAGTCAGGCGCAGTGGCTCATGCCTATAATCCCAGAACTCTGGAGAGGCTGAGGTGGGAGGATCACTTGAGGCCAGGAGTTCAAGACCAGTCTGGGCAACATAGTGAGACCCCATCTCTACAAAAGATTTAAAAATTAGCCAGGTGTAGTGGCCAGAGCCTGTAGTTCCAGCTACTTGGGAGACTGAGGCAGGAGGTTCGCTTGAGCCCTGGAAGTCAAGGCTACAGTGAGCTAGGGTAGCACCACTGCACTCTAGCCTGTGCAACAGAGTGAGACCCTGTCTCAAAAACAAGAAGAAAAACTATTTACAACCTACAAAACTCTTTCACATATATTATCGTGTTCGATTTTTTTCTCTGTCCTTAGAGCCACACCCATGAGGAAGCTGGGGTGTGTATTATGATCGCCTGTTTCACAGTGAAGCAAACTGCAGCCCAGAGAGGAGTGGTGGCTTGCCCACAGTCACATGGCTGATCAGTGAAGAGCTAGACTTGAGCCTGGTACTCAGGCCCCACTTCCATGCTCTTTTTTGAGACAGAGTCTCGCTCTGTCACCCAGGCTGCAGTGCAATGGCGTGATCTTGGCTCACTGCAACCTCTGCCTCCCGGGTTCAAGTGATTCTCCTAGCTCAGCCTCCCAAGTAGCTGGGTCCACAGGCACGCACCACCACACCCGGCTAATCTTTGTATTTTTAGTAGAGATGGGGTTTCACCATGTTGGCCAGGCTGGTCTCGAACTCCTGTTCTCAAATGATCTGCCCGCCTCGGCCTCCCAAAGTACTGGGATTACAGGTGTGAGTCACCACACCTGGCCTTTCCGTGCTATCTCTACTGCTGCATATCCACGCTTTATAGAAAAGAGACTGCTGCAAGTTCAAATTATCCACAGTAGTGGAAGGGGGAGTGGCACCACAAACAAACACCACCACCCACAGGGGCTGGGAAGAAGGTGGGTCTGGAATGTCATGTGCAGTTTGGTTTGGAGCAGACCAAGTTAGCTTGGTGGGGCCAGCACTGGCCTCTTGCTTTTCTCAGATCTTCATAGGTCTATGAGGATTCATTCCACGCCAGGAATGGAGTACTCTGGAACAGGAGTGCCCAGAGAGTCCACAGAGTGAGGAACGAGGATGGTCAAAGCTGAGGGAAGACAGTGGCTTCTCACCGCAGACTCCAGGAGGATAACGTGCGAGCTCTTGAGACATGCACACCCTCCCTGGCGTGGCTTCTGCCTACTTTGCCAGCCTCTTCCTCCAGCCCTCACTGCCTCCCAGATGCCCAAGTTAAAGCAGTTGTCCCCAGTTGCTCAGCCATCTCACGTGGCTTCACACCTCTGAGCTTTTCTCAGACCGTTCCTTCTGCCTGGGTGCCCTTCATAGTCTCCTCTCCTGGCTGACTCTTACCAGACTTCAATACTCAGCTCTAGTGGCATCTTTTCCAGGAAACCCTCCCTAAAGCCCTGAGAACTCCTCCCATGAACTGAGCACAGTCAGCACATTCTATTAAAAGTCTCTCTTTGCTGGGTCTTTCTCTTCTGCTGGATTAGCAACTCCTCAAAAACAGAGACTGTGAGCTATTTATATGGGCACTCCCAGTGTCCCGCATGTAGTAGTAATAAAATCACAACATATATTGAAGGTTTACTATGTACTAGATGCTATTTAAGTGCTTTATATTAACTCGTTGAATCCTCAGAATAACCATATGATGTATGTTTTGCACCCTATTTTTTAAATTGTTGTTTTTTAACCTTTTAAAAAAAGTATGGATTAACTGGACAAGCAAAGAAATTTACAGGGAAGTCCACAGTACCCTTCATCCAGCATCCCCCAGTGCCAACATCTTGCCTAATTATACTGTAATGTCAAAACAAGGAAACTGACATTGGTATAACCCTAGAGTTTATCGGAATTTCACCAGTTATACATGCACTCCTTTGTGTGTGCCTGGTTTTGTGTAAATCCACCACAATCAAGCTAGTTAACCACACCATCACAGGACTCCCTTGTGCTGCTCCTGTATAGCCACGCTACCCCATCTCGCACTCTGTCAGCCACTCAGCTATTCTTCATCTCTATAATTATGTTGTTTCACAGTTGTTATATAAATGGGAACATTGAGTCTGTAATTTTTTGCTGTTGGCTTTTTTTTTTTTTTTTTTTTTTTTGGAGACAGAGTTTCACTCTGGCATCCAGGCTGGAGTGCAGTGGCATGATCTTGGCTCACTGCAACCTCTGCCTCCCAGGTTCAAGCAATTCTCCGGCCTCAGCCTCCCGAGTAGCTGGGATTACAGGTGTGGGCCACCACGCCTGGCTAATTTTTTGTATTTTTAGTAGAGACTGGGTTTCACCATGATGGCCAGGCTGGTCTCAAATTCCTGACCTAAAGTGATCCATCTGCCTTGGCATCCCAAAGAGCTGGGATTACAGGCATGAGCCACCGCGCCCAGTGGCTTTTTTTGTATTCAGCATAATTTCCTTGAGGTTCATCCAAGTAGTTGCCTATATCAGTAGTTAGTTTGTTCTTTTTTGTCACCATGTAGTATAACATGATAGGGATGTGCCACAATTATTTAACCATCCACCCACTGAAGGGCATTGGCATTACCTCGTTTTGCAAGTGAGAAAGCTAACTGGCCCAGGATCACATGACTAGCAAGTGGCACTTAATAAATGTTTAGCAATAAGCACCTAACAAACGTTTATTGTACAAGCTCAACTGAATGAGGGTACTTTATGCTCTTCACTTAGCACCTAGCATGGTGTTTTACACATAGTAGGTGCTCAATAAATGTTTGCCAGTGAGGATATGGATGAGATGGCATTTATATTTACATAACTTGTATCATGACCAACTTATTCCTATGCCTAGACATTCACAGGAGAGGAATATGTCCCTCTCAATATCTTACACTTTCCGTTTTACTTAGAATATCAGGAAAGGAAAATTGGGGCAGTAAATATGACCACATACAGGGCTGGCATTTTATTGCCTAAAATGCCCAGAGCTTTTGGTTCCAAATTAATATATGCCATCTTTTCATAGTATTTTGCATCGAATTTGCAGGTTGCTCATTTTATCAAAATGCAAAGCAACCCTTCCAACTCCTGCTTCTTCCTGTACCACCACCCTCCCAGCAGGTGCTGGGTCAGGCTGTGCCAACGCAGTCTGCAGAAACAATTGGTTGGGTTCCGAAAGTGTCCATGCTAAGCTGAAAAGTCTACTGGGGTGTTTTTGCTTGTGGAAGCAGTGAGTTATTTTCACTCAGTGGGGGCCTCAGGAGGTTTAATTGCAGAGGATTTGTGGAGCTGTTGGAAGTCCTTAACCTCAGGTGTGAAGAGCCAAATGTGATTAAGTGATTGGAAAGGAACCACAAGTTGGACTAGTCTCTGTCCTGGGCACAGCGCCCAGGAGATGGGCTTGCTTGAGCAGCTCCCACTGTCCCTTTGAAAAGTGAGGTGACAAGAGAGCCAACCCCAGCCTCCAGGGACACATTGGAGATAAGTGGGGTCTCCAGGGTGGGCCTTTCACAGAGAGTGCCCTGTGGCGTCAAGGGGAACCCATGGTTTTGGCCAATCAAGGCCTTACCATGGGCCACAAGTAGGAGGGACAGATAAAAAGGGTAAAACTGTGGGTCTTGACCTCAAGCAACTACTAATGATGTCGACTCACCCCTAAAGCAATTAAGGGCTGGCTGTGGGGGTGCTCATACCTGTAACCCCAGTACTTTGGAAGGCGGAGGTGGGAGGATCACTTAGAGCCCAGGAGTTCAAGACCAGCCTGGGTGACAGGAGGAGAACCTGTCTCCAAAAAAATAAAAAGGAAAAATGAGACTTTAAAGAAGTTTTGGCCTTTTGGCGAGCCATGTGGGATTGCGCCCTGAGACCCCCGGGAATGCATGATCACTCTGTTGTTAGAGGCAATTCTTTTTAAATTTTTTTTCTTTTTTTTTCTTTCACGTCCATCTGTGATCCAAGTTAGGGGCAATTCAAAGGAGGAGTTGAAGCATTATCTTCCTAAAGAGAATGGAACCTCACCTGGGAAGATGAAATGGACTGCTGGGGAGGATAGACCGGTGAGGAAGTGGGGCCAGTATTGGGGTAGAGAGGGTGACGTGTCTGATTTAGGACACTGTTCTAGGGACTCATGGGGAACTTTGGTACTTTAGGGAACTGAATGGGATTTGATTAAAGAGCTGACCATCAGGCTACTGCAGAGTGTAATGAGAGACCAGATGAGGCTGTAAAGAGGGACCATAATGGGGAGTGGAGGATGGGCCTGCCGGACGGCAGAGGACTGACCCCAGAGGGAGAATGGGCACAAGGCAGACGCAGAAGACGGGGAGGGACTTCCAAGAAGGAAGTTGGTAGCGTGGCAGACGAGCCCATCAAGAGCTTCCCGAGGCTGAAAGCTGCAAAAATACTGTTGGATTGAGAAGAGCTGTGAGACTGAAAATTAACTCACAGGGGCTTAAGCAAGAAGGGTCTGTGCTCAGAAGGAATCACAGGCGAAAGGGGCATTTATATCGTTATTTTTAAAAGTGGAGAGAGGGTAAGCAAAGGAGTGAGTTTCCTGAGGAGGTGGGAAGGGATGAGGTTGGTTTTAAAATTCCTCTTCCCTTAAGTCAGAGTGGAGGGAGAGAGAATGAACGAGCTGCGCAGAGGTGTGGGAGGCACAGTGATGGAGGGCAAAGGAGGTCACATCACCATCTCCGTCGGCCTCAGGAGGTCAGGCAAGGCAATCTGTTCTGAGGACGGCGTGCAGGTGGGGAGCACGGTGAGGGGCAGATTCAGAAAAGGACTGTGCAGAGGTGCCGGGGCAGCTGCAGAGGAGGAATAAAGGGATTGCAGCAGAGAGGACTGGTTGAAGCTGGAATCATGAATGCATAATAGTGCTGGCGGCTTCCGTGTTTTCTTCTGCAATGCTTTGTGGGGAGACAAACAGAGCTGGGTGGGGAGGATTTCTAATTTTTTAACTGAGGCAGGGGCAGCAATGACCTCAGTAACCTTCCTCTCATTTTGTGGGGCCTAGGCTGCCCAGCCTTCTGCAGACAGACACCCTTCTATCCCCACCAGCCTGGCCTCTTACTGTGGGCAGCCCAGTGGGGAAGCCCACTCACCTGGCTTTGCCGTCTGGGGGAGCTCTCCACTTTTCAGAGCTTGTGGTCATTTCTCCTTGGCCTGACGTATCAGTGGATCCGGTTCTAAAAGAGTCCCATTTGCCCTCCATTGTTCCCTGTGCACTGTTTTCATTTTTCTCCCCTCGTCGATCTTGCGACAGCAGCGTAATAGCCTCCGAGAGGGTCAGACTGGGAAGATGAATGCTGGCCTGTGGAGGACTGCATCCTGCCTCTCCATTAGTGAGGTAATGGAAGGCAGGGAGCAGAGAATGGATAATCCAAGGAAACACAAACAGACACAACAAGCAGCGCACAGGATAACCTACACAGCATTTCCTCTTGTGCTTGGAGTGTGCTGTGATGACTTGAGTGCCACTGATTTGCTGGTCTAATTAGGTCTGACTTGGACAATGTGGGTTGCATTTCCCAGGGTAGAGAGGGCAGTGAGGAGAATCCAGGATGGGCTAAAAACGTTTGCTTGGGGAGAAGCCACCAAGTGAAGGATCCCCATGTGCATGCACAAGCAGACAGAAGAGCCTGTGATGGCTGCCACTATTTGAAGACTTGGTGCATTAAATGGGCCCAGATACCCACAGGTCACCCAAGAACACAGCTCCCTACTCAGTGTACTCCTCACATGTTGTGTGTTAACTCCTTTCCGGCCAAGTCAACCAAGCATAATGGTTGGGAAAGTTTCTCATGAGTAGTGCCAGGGTGGTGATGCGGTACAGTTTATCTCTGTTCCTTGCTGATATGCTCCAGGTCCATGAGCTGATGCCTCCAGGTACTTTCTGCCAGAGGAGCCATGAAGACTCCCAGGGGCCACTGCCCTGCCCTTCTGCCCAGTATCAGTTGATGCTTCCTTGGTGCCATTGGCATCAGTTCATGGTCCAAATGGGGGTTGGAGGGGAGAGTCCCTGAGGCAGACAGAGGGCAGATTATAGAATTAATAGCCTAAAAGCCCCCTGGAAATGAACTATTTGAGGAAACATGAGTTCTGGTCTCCATGTCCTATGTAATCTCGAGCTGCTCACCAAAGCTTTCTGGGCCTCCATTTCCCTTCTGAGGCCTTTTTTTTTCCAGCTCAGTCCCCTGAGCCATCCTGAGAACAGAAAGGAGTTTAGTTAAACAAGTTTCTAGTGATCATGAAACCAGGCTGTAAGTAGGGAGGGACATCTTCAAATTCTCCTGGGTTTATGACAGGGCTGGAGTATGTTTTCAAGTGTCCAGATAAGATATTGTGGCAAAGTTACTCATCAAATGTGTATTTAGGTCCCAGTTCCCAGATACTTATCAGCTATTTGACCTTGGACAAGTTGTTCTTTACCTGAAGACCAATTGTTCATCCATAGAACAGAACTTATACCTGCCTCACACATGTTTGTGAAAATCAAATAAGATCATTTGTGAGAAAGCATTTTGCAAGTTCATAAATGTCCCATCACTGTAGCAGGCTGAGAGGGAGAGGTAGCAGGGAACATGAAAAGATCGTGGGACTCGAGTCATATGGAGCCGAGTTCAGATTCCACTGTGAGTTGTGGCCTTGGACAAGTTGGTGAACTTCTCTTAGTCTTAGTTTCATCATCTGTAAAGTTGACATAAGTAAATTATGCCAGAGAATTACTGGAGGATTAAATGGGATGGTGTTTGTAAAGGGTCTGGCATATGGTAGATGCCCCTGCCCCTTTTCCCACTCCCTGTATGTAGCTCCCCCTCACTATATCCTAGCTCTCCCAGGCCCTCAAGTCAAGGACAGCTCAAGTCATCATTTGCCCACATTTTCAAATGCTCAGACTATCCTGGCATTTGTCTATGGAAGTGCCACGTTGTCTACACCCTCCCCAAGGTTTCACCTTTAGCTGTGGGTCTTCAGTCTTGGGTTCCTTCTTCCTGTTGGACAGAAGGTGCCTGCTGAAGATACAGATACAGAACTGATCACGTCAGTCTCCAGACCCTGCAGAGGGATCAGGCTATTCCATGAAACTCCACATCTGCTGGGGTCCAGCTTTCTGCAGTGGCTACCCTTCCTGTGCCAAAGCCACTCCATGAGGTTTGCCCAGCCATCCTGGGGCAGGGTGCCCAGGGTGCAGGGGTGCAGGGGTGCAGGGGTGCAGCAAAGCATTCTTTGCTCAGAGAGATTCTCATCCCTGAGGAGAAGATCCACTCTCTGTCCTGGTCCTTCTTAGCCCAGAGAGCAGCCCCTCGTTTCCTGCTACCGCTTTTGCTGTCCTCACCGTACTTTCTCTATGCTGCAGCATAGTCAACCTCTAACCCTCCCTGCCAAGGGCATCCGGGAGCCCTCAGCCACCCAGCTGCCCCTCATGGCTCCCAGCAGGATGGCGCTTAGGCCATCTAACTGGGCAGATGTTCAAGCCCCTGTGTGGTCTTTTCTGGTCTGTGGAACACCTGTCTCAAGATCACCCTTGGGGGTGTGGGGCACTCAGATGCAGATTCCCGACAGCACTTCAGATCAACTAGATTCCAGGCTGGCCAGAAATCTGCATTGTAGATAAGCTCCCACAGGATTCTTATGTACAGGAAAGTTCGAAAACCATTGGTGTGACTTTTCCCCCCATTTTTATTGAGGTAGAACTCATATAGTGAAGCAAACAAATCACGTGGGCAACTTGAGTTTGAATATGGGGTATACAACATCCCCATATTACCACTCCCAAATCAAGATATAAAACAACATGTAGGACATTTCTAGCCCCCTAAAAGGCTCTCTTACACTCAGCATTCTAGCAGCGTAGACCTAGTTTAGCCTGTTTTTGAATTTCATGTGAATGGAGTATTTGTATTCTTTTGCTCCACATTGTATCACTTCTGCCCACTCTTAAAAGTACAAACAACTCCTCTTCCATCCCATGTACCTTACCCTCTTCTGATAGAGAGAGAGAAAAAAATTAATCAATCAATCAATCAACCAGATTTTTCAGGACCTAGCCCTAACTCCCTCTCATTGCAGTTTCCTCCATCCTCCCCTCCTCAGGCCTTGGGGAGATCACATTCGGCCCCAATCCTCCAAGCATTAGTGCTTCCAGAGGCCCAGGAGCCGTCACCAATGCTGCTGTGGAGGACCTGGGCCCACTCCCCTGCCAGTCCCTCTGTAGACAGCTACTGGGACACTCATTTGTAGTATATGGCTTGCCAGAGAGTCCAGGCACATTCCAGATGAAATTGGCCAATTTAAGCTACAAATGAAAAGACAAATGAGATGGAAATTGCACAGAACAAGCCTGCTTCTCATCAGGAGGTATCAATCCTGACATTCTGAGTTGTGCAACTTATTTAGGCCTCTCCCTGCCACCACTGAGGTCAGAAGGGCTTTCCCAAGGATGGGAAACACCACCTCCTTCACACGCACAGCCAGGCAGAAGAGCAGCCCAAGAGGCTCTAAGACGAAGTGAGAGAGAGAGAGAGAGAGAGAGTGTGTGTGTGTGTGTGTGTGTGTGTGTCTGTGTAAGGCGGGGAGAAGGGAGAAAGTAGAGGACACAAGGCAGATACCTCAGAAGCAAGGCAATAAAGAAAGAGGATTTATCAGTCCAAAAAGGAAAAAAATATTTTGGACATCTGCTATTTACTAGGCCCCATTCTAGGTGTTCAGACTGACAAGATAAACAAGACCTGCCCTTAAGGAACTCCCAGTCCAGAGGAGGAAAAGAAAGAAAGTGAGATGATGGGGATGACAACAGAAAAGGCAAGGGGAGATGGAGACACATCTATAAACAGGAGGAAGGACAGCTGGAAGGAGAAACGAGGGTGGAGCTGGAAGGAGAAACGAGGGTGGAGCTGGAAGGAGAAACGAGGGTGGACGGGAGACCTGGAGAGGAGCAGGAGTCCTGTGAACAAGCCAAGGGTATGGAGCTTGGCCTGCTGTCACCCCCTGGACCAGGAAGAAGCAGCCTTGAGGGTCCTCTGGAAAGAGACAGCTCACAGATGCCTTTACAGGCATCAACTCATTGGTTCTTGGTAAAGTGTCAAGGAGTGGGCCTGGCAGGGAGTTCACCAATCCAGTGAATGGGGCAAACCAATAAACAAAATATCTGGATGATGGCTTATTCTCTATTATGTAAAGAGGGGTCAATGAGCCAGGAGTTCTTAGTCCCTGGGTCTCTGTCTTATCTACTATTTTTTGTTGAGTTTAGTGAGTTTCAAAGAGTCCAGGAATGCAAATTTGTTTTCATATGGATCCAAGCTAAATACAGTTTTAGTAATAATAATAGCAAACACTTATAAGGCACTTACCATGAGCCAGGCTGTTTTAAACACTTCACACATAGTAACTCATTTGCATAGTAAATACACTGGGGAAAAAAATCCTACAATGCATTTCAAAGCCAAACACAAGTGACTTTTGAACTATCCATCACACACACACACACACACACACACACACACCTGAAGGTAGATTATGAACTGTTGACCACCTTAAACCTCATTCTCTTAGGTGGCCGTAAGACAGATGTCCTGGGAGGCTGGGTTTGGAAAGCCATTCCAGGAGCACTTGAATAATTCCAGATTTCAGTGGGCCAAACAGGCTTACCCTCTCCCTCCTCCTCCTCTGAGCTGGAGCACTTCAGGCCGGGCTCCATGCAGGGTGCTCAGGCTGGATGAAGACCCCGGAGACTGTCATTAGGGTAAGTGTGGCCCTGTCTCCAGGGACTGCTCCCTGTCCATTACCAGAGCCAGAATCCATGTGCATTGCACCATTGTGGATGTTGCTAAGCCTAATTGCTACCAGGGAACTAGTTTCCATAGTGACAGAGGTACAGTAGGCCCTTGACATTCTCAAGGGATACATCATAGCCCTTCATGAATCCGTGGATTAGAGACTACCACATAATTTCCCCCATAAAATGCAGTAAAGTATGACTGAGAAATGTAATGAGGATGGCTATTGAGGGCAAAGTCACCCAACTCTCAGCTTGCCAGGAGGTTCCCCTGCTGGTCTCACAGCACTGGCAAGTCAGCATTACATACTATTTCATGTCAGACTGAGGTTGGTCATAATGGCAGAAGCCACCTTATGATAAACGGAGAATACCAGCGACTGCCACTTTTGAATGACAGTAGCAAGGAGGGACTTCTGTTTAAACATGATGGACTAACATCTCTGGTGCTTTGTGCTGCCTCCCCAAACCACACTAGAAGTAAAGGAGTAAAAAAGATGCAGGCCCACAAGGGCAGGGGAGGAGATGAAAGCGAATAAGAAATGTCAGTACAATTTTGGAACTTGAGAAGGTAACTGACTTGGCTTGATAGAGAAAGAAAAACCCAGAGGCTCCCAAAGAGGGGAGTCAATGAGAAATGGGCAGATTCCTGCTATAAAACCACAGAGAGGCTGAGAAATGGTTGGCATCTGAAGACAGGGTATGGAGTAGGGCCAGAAACAGGAGAGTGATACCTCAGATCCCTTCCTCACCCCATGTCACCCCATGTCTGTCCCTGCTTTACCCTAGAGCATCCTGAAGAAAACTTTGCTCTCCAAAGAGACTGAACCCAAAAAGTGCTGACTTGGGGATATGGGTACAAGTATGAGTAGAGATGAGGCAGTATGTTGGAAAAGTGAGCATTTGCTCAAAGTTTCCAAGCCAAATGGGGAAGCCTTTTGGTCATTTCTTCCAGCTGGGTCTAAAAATACTGGTAGTTGGACAAGTGATGATATTTGGGAGACCCCCTTCCTCTCAGTTAAGCCCTGCCCTTTCCAATCGGCTGTAAATACGAACCATTGGCTGGGCACGGTGGCTCATGCCTGTAATCCCAACACTTTGGGAGGCCAAGGTGGGCAAATCACTTGAGGTCAGGAGTTTGAGAACAGCCTGGCCAATATAGTGAAACCCCGTCTCCACTAAAAATATAAAAATTAGCCAGGCATGGTGGCACGTGCCTGTAGTCCCAGATATTCCGGAGGCTGAGGCAGGAGAATGGCTTGAAACTGGGAGGTGGAGGTTACAGTGAGCCGAGATTACGCCATTGCACTCCAGCCTGGGCGACAGAGTGAGACTCAGTCTCAAAAAAAAAAAAAAAAAAAAAAAAAGAACCATTGGCTAAGGCTTACTAGAATTTTAAGGGAGGTGTCTAATGTTAAGAAAGCATAAGCCAAAATAAACAATAAATAAAAACTTGAAGAAAGGAAATACTATGCAGGGAGCAAAAGAAAAAATAAAAACCATCATCACCACCTCAATTTATATCCTCAGAGAGTTGAGAGACGACATTATACCCACAAAAGAAGATCATGGGGCCTTTTTAAAAAATTGAGATATAATTCACATACCATAAAATTCACCATTTTAAAGTGTACAATTTGGTAGTTTTTTATATATTCACAAGGTTGTACATCCATTGCCATTATCTAATTCTAAAACATTCTCATTATCGCCCCCAAAAAACTCCATACCCATCAGCAGCCACTCCTCATTCTCCCCTTCCCCCAGATCCTGGCAACCACTAGTCTGCTTTCTGTCTCTATAGATTTGCTTATTCTGGACGTGTCATAGAAATGGAATCATACAATTCGTAGCCTTTGTGTCTGGCATCTTCCACTTAGCATGTTTTCAAAGGTTGTAGCATGTGCCATTACTTCGTTCCTTTTTGTAGTTGAATATTATTGCATTGTATGGATATACCATATATATGCGTGTGTGTGTGTGTGTGTGTGTGTGTATATATACATATATATAGACACATAGATATATATTTTGAGATGGGGTCTCACTGTGTCACCTAGGCTGGAGTGCAATGGGGTGATCTTGGCTCACTGCAACCTCCGCCTCCCGGGTTCAAGTGATTCTCCTGCCTCAGCCTCCCAAGTAGCTGGGATTACAGGTCTGCACCACCACACCCGGCTAATTTTTGTGTTTTTAGTAGAGACGGGGGTTTCGCCGTGTTGGCCAGGCTGGTCTCAAACTCCTGACCTCAGATGGTCCACCCGCCTCGGTTCTCAAAGTGCTGGGATTACAGACGTGAGCCACCACGCCTGTCAGATATACCATATTTTTTTATCCATCTATCAGTTGGTAGACATTTGGGTGATTTTTATTTTTTAAGGAAGATGCAGAGAACAAGTTCTTGGAGACTTAAAATATGTTGTTTCCTTCAATGAAGATGATTACTTTGCAGATGGCGAGGATCCATTAGGTGCCCAGCACAATTAATGAAGAAGAGACCCTCACAAAGACACAACATTTTGAGATTTCAGAATGTCAGGTATAAAGTGAAGATTCCACAAGCCAGGAAGAAAAAGACAGGCTTTAGGATAGAGCAGACTTCTCAACAGCAGCCCTAGACGCAAATAGGTCATGGAACTGTGTCTTCCAACATGTGAGGGAATGTTATTTACAGTCTGAAATTATATTTCCAGTCAAACTGTCAGATATGGAGGCTCAATAAAGACATGCAAACATTTGCAAAAATGTTCGTGCCAAAATTTTCAAACACTCAGACTTTCAAGAAACTTAGCTCTTTTTCAAAAGCAACTCAAAAAAGATGTACTCTACCAAAACAAGGTGGAAAACAAGAAAGATGACATGAACCTCAGGGAGAGACAAATTGTTAAGAATATTTACTATCATAAGAAAAAGCCTGAAAAGATATGCATCAAAATGTTAACAGTGGTTATGGCACCAGGAGGTAGAAAAGGGGATTGTTTAAATTTTCTCCATGTTTTTCTATACCTTCTAATTTTTCGATAAGAATGTCATACTGTACCTACCAGTTACTATATCTTTGACACACGTGGATGCAGACAGCCAAGGGCAGGCCAGAGATAGAGAAGAGACAAAGAAAGAATAGAGGGGGGCCAGGCGTGGTGGCTCACACCTGTAATCCCAGCACTTTGGGAGGCTGAGGCGGGCAGATCATGAGGTCAGGAGATCGAGACCATCCTGGCTAACAGGGTGAAACCCCGTCTCTACTAAAAATACGAAAAATTAGCCGGGCGTGGTGGCGGGCGCCTGTAGTCCCAGCTACTGGGGAGGCTGAGGCAGGAGAATGGCGTGAACCTGGGAGGTGGAGCTTGCAGTGAGCCGAGATCGCGCCACTGCACTCCAGCCTGGGCGACAGAGCGAGACTCCGTCTCAAAAAAGAAAAGAAAAAAGAAGAGAAGGAAAGGGAGGGAAGGAAAGATATGGAGCGTGGAGCTCTGGGGGCCACTGTGCTGCTCTGAACACAATTATCCTGCGTTTCGGTGCCCTTGTCCTGTCGGCAGCCCCCAGGGCCACAGTCATATTTGTGAGTCTGTCAGTCTGCCCTGCTAGGTACAGATCTCCCTCAGGACAGAGGCTGGATCTTGTTCATCTTGTATCTATTCCCAGTGCCTGGCAGAGAAAATACATGGAATTGGTGCTTGAATGAATGTAGAGAGGAAGAGAAAGGAAGGAGGAGAAAAAAAAAAACAAAAAAACCTCACCTGGCTGGGCATGGTGGCTCATGCCTGTAATCCCAGCACTTTGGGAGGCCTAGGATGGCAGATCACTTGAGCCCAGGAGTTCAAGATCAGCCTGGGAAATAAGTAAGACCCCTTCTCTAAGAAACAAAAACATTTTTAAAAAATTAGCTGGGCATGGTGGCACATGCCAGTAGTCCCAGCTACTTGGGAGGCTGAGGTGGGAGGATCACTTGAGCCTGGGAGACAGGGGCTGCAGTGACCCCAGATCGCGCCACTGCACTCCAGCCTGGGTGACAGAGCAAGACCCTGTCTCAAGAAAACAAAAACAAAACCCACCAAATGTAGAGCATAAATTTGGTGAGACCTGAAGTAGGGATGCCATCAAGGTTTTAGCACCACTTGCTGGGGTGGTCAGTTCCGCTGTCGGAGAACTTACCTCATTTCCACTCTTGGAGGACTTACCTCAGCTGGGTCCAGCCACCTGTGTCCCACTGCCACTCAGCTGTTTCTTCAGGCAAGGCCTGGGGGAGCTTGGAATGTCCACAGGGGCTAGAGAATGGAGAATGTCTTTTGCACCCATTAAAGTTTCAGAACAGCTACACTCAGACCACAGCTCCCCAGCTACTGGTAGTCCCAGAGCTCTTATAAACCTCCTGGGGCCTACTTGAGAGGAACATTTTGGGTTCATGGCAGGGGTGTTGTGCTGGGGGGGTGGCAAGAAGGGAAGTCCTGATTTGTAGTGTTTGCCAATTTTCATAGTTTTCAGTATTTCCATCACAGCCAATTTCAACCTACTATGTAATGTTATTGAGGGTGGAGTTGGGAAGAGGTGAGCTCCATCAGCTCTCATGGACTGGGGCAAGCTGGTTCCAGCACGCACTGGTTAATGCCAATGATGGATGTAACTACCAAGTGCCACTTCTGCATGAGCACAAAGTTGGATGACTTGGATGTTTGGATGGAATCAAAGAGCTTCTGGTCCAGGGAAGGATGGAAGTAGCCACATATGCTATGAGTACCGCCAGGGAGAGTTTGGTGGAGAGTTTTTGATCAGGGGATGCAAAAAGGATCAAGACAGCTGGATGGGACCTGCTATACAAAGAAAGAACTTTGTACAACTTCCTTATCAACTAAGAAAGCAGGCTTTCATTCTAATTGTTCTGATTTGCAGATGAAAAAACTAAGGCCTAACAAGCTAATAGTCACACAGCTAATAAATAGGCCACCGTTGGGACAAACCCAAGCCTTCTGATTTTCATTAAGATTAAACTTGTCTACAGTATTCAAACCCATAAATCTTCAGTGAACAGCTTTGAACATTTCAGTACCCAGAAGGCTCCTCGTACCCCTTCTCGGGTAATTGGGTCTTCTAATTCTTAATCCAGTCCGCTTTACACCAGTCCTTACTGACTTTGGGTTGGCAGTATATCATGTACTTACAAGTATGGCTTCAAGGACAATCTTCCTCAGTGGTTAAGCACACAGACTTTGGGGCCAGACTGCCGAGATTCAAATCCCAGCTTCAGCTGTTTGACCCCAGGCAGGTTACTTAATCTCTAGATCCTTTTTTTTTTTTTTTTTTTTTGTCAGGGTCTCACACTGTCACCAAAGAGGGAGTGCACTGGCACAATTATGGCTCACTGCAGCCTCGAACTCCTAGACTGAAGTGATCCTTCCACATCAGCCTCCTGAGTAGCTGAGACTACAGGTGCATGCTACCATGCCCAGCTAAATAGTTTTTCTTTTTTTTTTTTTTTGAGATGGGGTCTCACTCTGTTGCCCAGGCTGGAGTGCAGTGGTACTACCCTAACTCACTGTAGCCTTGACCTACAGGGCTCAAGTGATCCTCCTGCCTCAGCCTCCCAAGTAGCTGGGACTAAGGTTGCACACCACCACACCTGGCTAATTTTTTAAATATTTTGTGGAGACAGAGTCTCACTATGTTGCCCAGGCTGGTCTTGAACTCTTGGTCTCAAGTGATCCTCCTGCCTCTGCCTCCCAGAGCACTAGGATTACAGGCATGAGCCACTGCACCCGGGCCAATCTCTGTATTTTAGATTCCCATTTATAAATGAGGATAAAGGCATCACAGGGTTGTTGTAGGCTGATATGGGTTAATACAAGTAAAGTGCTTAGAACAGTTCCTAGTTCATACCAAGTGTTCAGTAAGGGTCAGCCTATCATTATTTGGCAAGGGAGAAGCAGCCGTCCTGGCCCAGAAATCAGAGAGGTGTGAAGAAATTGATTAGAGATCAAGAAGGCAATCAGCCTCAGGCTTCCTTCACGGTTTCCCAACCTGGGGTCAGTGGAGCCAACTCCTAGAGAAACTTAGAACTTCTGAATTGAGAGGGACTAGCAATCTTGTAGCTGGGTACTTGTATCTTGCAGATGAGAATCAGAAGCCCAGAGTTCAGTGTGTGCCCTTATATTAATATTAGGCTAGTGCAAAAGTAATTGTGGTTTTTGCTGTTACTTTCAATGGCAAAAATCGCAATTACTTTTGCACCATCTAATACTAGTCACTTCCCTGCTGTGGGACTCTGCTTCTTCCATTGAAAAGGAAGCAGAATGAGGTGGATACCGAGGTCCCTTCCGCAGAAGCTCTGACCTGAGGACCAACTCACCTTGCTTAGATGTGGAGGCTGCACCCGGGACAGACCCCCACGTGAAGGTAGCAAGTTGGTGGGATAGGCAAGACCTCACCTCCCTGCCAGCACCCTCCATCTGTAGGGGAATGGCTTCTGAAATGGACCCAGTTGCAGGACTGCCCTGGGCTAGCTCTTTTCCCAGGAGGCAGACCCAGCTGCCTGCATTGGAATCACCTGCTTGGAAGCTGTTCAATCTGCAGGTGTCCGGGCTCCACCCTGAGGAGTGGGATGGGTATTTGCATGTTAACAAGCTCTCTGGGTGATTCGTGGGCACGCTCTTAGTTTGAGAAATATTGGATTGGAGGGCTGGGATCCAGGATGGGAGGTGCAAGCTCTCATATTAGAAATAGCTGCCATTTATCCAGTACCTACTCCATGTGGGGCACTTTTTGACATCTCTAATCTTTACAACCACCACCCTGCAAAGTAGGCATTATTACTCTAATTGTACAGAAGAGAAAACTGAGACCCACAGCAATTAACTTGCCAGGCATCATCCAGATAATGAGACAAGGAGCCAAAACTTTAGCTCGGTCCTTCTTTGCTCTTCTGCCTCCTTGCTGAACTCCTAAACAGCTGCCTCTTACCTGACTCGAAACAGCGCTGGGAGGTGACCAGCTGAACCGGGAGAGGGGTGGGTTAATGTCAAGGCGCCTGCAGCTGTGGTTCAGGGAGGCAAGGAGGAAGGCGGCGGGGGGGCGGGGGGGGGGCGGTGAAGAGGAGAGGGCGAAGGGGAGAGAGGAGGGGGAAGGGTCCCATGGCCCATCTCCGTTTTTCCGTCTCCCTTTCTCTCTCAGGCATTCTTCAGGCTCACAGCCGCTGTTTTGACAGGGTGTGAAGCCATCCGCAACCTTTGTCTTCTCTGCTTCCCAGCCTCCTATTGTCTCACTAATTAAAGACGGCTTCAAAAATTTCCCCTGTTGTGTGCTGCTTGGCAGAATGCCAGCATCCCACTGGGGAAAGCCACAGCAGGCACCTGGTACCCGGGCACTGGGAGACACCTGGGCCCTGGCAGGGGCCGGCTGGGGAAGGGAGTTGGGCCAGGGGAGAAAGGAAGCAGCCTCGGGGCAGGGCAGGCAGGGGCTGGTAATTCTTAGGCCCTACAGCAGGAGGATGGGGTTCTGGAAGGAGGGCTGGGAGTTCTCACCTATCCTCAGCTAGAGTTGCTCAGTCCCCATTTGAAAGAGTTTTCTGAGCGATTCCCCAGCAGCCCCCATCACCTGCTCCTGTGTCCGACAGAACTTCCCTTGGGATGCTTTTTGTGACAACTCACCTGAAAGCTCTCATTCCCCAAGCCATTGCCCAGGCCATTCCTTCTGCCATATGGTGACAAGCCATCTGGTTTGCCTGGGGCTGGGGGGTTTTGGGGGGATGCAGGACTTAAATGCTGAAACTGGGAAATGGGGACAAGTTGGTCACCCCACTCTGCTTCCTCATCATCCAGGTGTCAGTCCCTTCCTCAAAGAGGCCACCCAAGTTAACACAGCACCAAGTCACTCTCCTCTGACCCTGTTTAGTTCCTGAAATAGCTTTTTATTGCTGCCATAACAAATCACCACAAACATAGCAGCTTAAAGAAACACACATTTGCCATCTCACAGCTCTGTCGGCCAGAAGTCTGTCTGGGTTGGCTCAGCCGATTTCTCTGCTCCAGGTTTCCAAAAGGCCAAAATCAAGGTGCCAGCCAGCTGGACTCTATCTGAAGACTCTAGGAGATCCGCTCCTGAGCTCATTCAGGTGGCTGTAGGACTGAGGTCCCTGTTTCCATGCTGGCTGGCAGCTGAGGGTGGTCCTCGGCTCCTAGATGGTGCCTTCCAGTCCTTGTGCACAGCTTCCTCAGAACCAGCAACAGGATATCAGATCATCGCACGCTTGGAATCCCTCTTCTGCCTGCTGCTGGAGAAAGCTGCTTTAATGACTCATGTGACTAGATTTGTCCTACTCAGATAATCCAAGACATTCTCTAATCTTAAAGTTCATAACCGTAATTACATCTGCAGGATTCCTTCTGCCCTGGAAGGTGACAGATTCCATAGGCTCTGGGATTAGAGTGTGGGAGTCTTTGGAGCCCCATCCCTCCTGCTGTCTGTCATTCCTTCCGAGCCCCTACCACTCTCTGATGTCTACTTACACATTTATTGTCCATCTATCCCCCCAAGTAAAATCCATGAGCGGAGAGATTGTGTTTGAGTTGTTCAGTGCCGTGTCCCCAGCCCTCCTGAAGCAACACTTGGCACACAGTGGGTTGTTGATGTTTGTTGAATGAGTGAGTGAACTTTACAGGGACTTTTGGATGCAGAGTGGAAGTGGGAACTTCTGGCAGGTCCAAGGAGGCTTCCTACATACACCCCTCCGCAGAGCAGGTGGCATCAGGTAGGCAAAGCAACCCCTCCTGGATGCCAGGCCCCAGCTGCTGGCATCTCCCAGCCTACCTCTCTGCCAGTGTTCTTCCCTCTTCCCACCTGAGGGTAAGACTAGTAGGACCCCTACCCTCACCCCTGACCCTCAGTCTCTCCCTGCCTGAGAATCCCAAAGGGCAGAAGCCACTGCTGAGTGTGTCCCTGAGGGGTGGTGACGAGGTAAAGGCAGAGCCTGTCTGGCCTGCGCTGGGTTCAAAGCCAATGCACCTGGGACTTCAAACAATTAATTTCCCCAGTCTGCAAAATGATCAGCTTCTGAGGGAAAACAATTAGCCCACTGCAAATTGGAATTGTCATCTCACTCCTGATTTTAATTTGGACTAATGAGGGCTAAGTGATTCCTGCTCCCTCCCCTCCCACTGCCCCTAGGCCCTGAGCCCTCACCTGCCAGTGGGCACTTAACCCTCAGCTGCCCCCCTTGCATCAGAGGCTGAGGAAGTTTTTGGGCTGGCACAGGGCCCAGGGCCAGGCTGGGCAGGTGCTGGCAGGACAGAGGGAGGGAAGAAGAGAGCACCTCCGGCTCAGCCCACAGGGGAGCTGCCTGTTTACAAGGCTCATAGGTAATCAAAGTTTTATTGAATGGAATTGACTACTGGCTCACTCCTTGTCACAGCCAGTTACCTCTGGCTGCACAGTCTCTGGGGACCCTGCTTCCAGGAGTGTCTGTTTGCCTTCTTCACGCCAGGTTGCCTCTGCCTGGCCTTGCTCTCCCCATACCCCCTACTGCCATGGTGGGGAGAGGCCATGATTCTCTGCAGCCGGGAGAGGGCTCACGTCCATGTCTGCCAGTCATGGGGATCAGTGTGGGAAGTGAACCTTGGACCATTTAGTCTAACTCCAGTTCCTCTAAACAAATTAAGGCCTGGAGAGGAGAAGGATCTGGTCAAGGTCACACAGGGGTCAAGGCCCAGGAGGAACTCACGGCCCTTCATGTTTCTTCTTATTGCTTGCTTAATTGTCTGTCTTCTTTCCTGGATACTGCTTTCCTCTCTTGCCTGCACAATGCCTGGCATGTTCAGGGATGCAGGAAAGAAGAAAATAAAGCATCCCGGGCAACCCTGTCCATGTTCTTCTACCACCTCCCACCCCCACTTAGCCTCGTTTCCAGTTGGGTTGGTTTGATTCATTCATGTGCACATCCATTCGTTCACACACTGCATCTGTGTGCTGAGAACCAGGCCGTGAGCTGCGGATACAGAGATAAATAAGACCTATCCCTGCCCTCTAGGACCTCACAGTCTAGTGGTTTCTGAATGTGGGGCTGTTCAGCCCAGAGCGCCTGACCCTCAGCAGGTTGCTCTTAGGCGAGAACCAACCCTGCATCCTGAGCAGCAGCAGGTAAGGGAGTCAGCTGCAGCTCCTGGCTGCAGACTGGCCCTGTGCTCATTCACCTCTTTGAGTCGCCGCCACTGGTTGAAGAGTTTAGTTAGGAATCAGAAACCCTGAGTTCTTGTCCTGGCTTTGATGCTGATTTGCTCTGTGGCCTTCCACAAATCCCTTCACCTGGTGTACTTTCTGAAGCCAGGGTCTGGGCTTTGGTGCATCCACCTGACTTCTGATGACTCTGGCCTGACCTCATCCCAGCGCCACGCAGCTGCCTCTCCCTCCATGTGCCAGTGGAGGCAGCTCGGCTAGTGGAAAGGCCTCTGTTCTGGTCAGGAGCCATCTCTGTCTGGGCCTGCCACCACCACTGGGTAATCTCAGTTAGCTGTAAAGTGGGGAAGGTCACCACCTTAAGGGTTGGGGGCTGTGGTCTGAACAGCTCCACATTTCAAAACCACTAGACTGTGTGGTCCTGGAGGGCAGGGATGGGTCTTATTTATTTCTGTATCCCTAGCTCATGGCCTGGTTCTCAGCACACAGCTGCAGAGTATAAATGGATGAATGAATCAAACCAACCTAACCAAAAAGTAGGTTGGGTGGGGGGGCGAGGCTAGAAGACCAACTGTGTGGTAACAAGTCCATGCAGGTGAAGCCTCCCTTGAATAAAACTCTCAGGGCCATACAAGAGGACCTCATTGTTGGTATGCAGCGGTTGCTTCTTGGATACCATCCCTCAATTCAGTGGACATACGAACTGGAGGTGCTGCGGGGGAAGCAGTGGAAAGCACATGGAAGGAATTTCCTGGCTCTGGGCCTATTTTCTTGGGGTCCCTGGATTGGATTCTCTTTCAGGCTTCTTCCAACTCTTGACATGCTGGGATTTGGCATTGAGATGTACCCAGTAGTGAGGGCAGCCTTGGGAGAGGTTACAGCTTCTTCTGCACCCTGCCCAGGCCCTCTCTCACTGTGGGAAGGTGCAGTTGGCTGCACCTCTCTGACATTTTCCTCTTCACATTTTCCCCACTGTCTGTTTCCACACATGCTGCCAACCCCAGCCCATCCTGTTCCAACCCTGTGCTCTTTCCCTATGGTTTGGCCCATCTTGTCTTCAGTGGCTGTAGCTGGGCTCACCTTCCAAGTGTCCCTGAGTAAGTGGTGGAGGTGGGATTTGAACCTAAGTCTTTCTAATCCACAGTCTGTCAGAATATAGAAATGTATGTTCAATAGAAATATAATGCAAGCTGCATTAAAAAGGCAAAAAGAAACAGGTGAAGTTAATAACATATTCACCCAATATAGCAAAAATATTTCAAAATGCAATCAATAACAAATTCATGAATGAGATGTTTCACATTCTTTTTTCATATTAAATCTTTGAAAGCTGGTGTACATTTACATGTCCAGCACATCTCCATTTGGACTGGCCACATTGCAAATACCCAGTGGCCTCATGTGGGGCTGCCACCTTGGACAGCTCTGGTCTTTGTTCTTGATACTGCTCCTTCCTGCTGAGTCATAGAGTGACTCCGCATAAAAATCAGAGCCGTCCATCTGGGCTTTGCTTCTCTTTCACTTCCTACTGCTCTCAGGGACCAGCCCTTCTCCTTTGGGCTCTTTTGGAGTTGGTGCTCTCTCCCCTTCCCTCTTACCTTCTTACCTGCCCATCCTCCACCTCCTCTCCCCTCACTCCCTCTCTCCCTTTCCTTGTTGTCAGACAAGAAACCTTTAAATAGGTGAGACAAAGGTGACAAATGTTCCTCATTTACATTCAAGTTCTATCTGCTTTTTTGGCCCTGTTGAATGGCACCTCTATCAAAATATCTCATTTGGAAATGTCAGAGTGGCTTTTGATAAGTCATCAGTCACTCTGATGGTAGTAGCTGACAGATGTGGGTAACAGTGTGGTGGTATCTAATATACTGTGGAATGCATCTTTTGCAATTGTGTGGTATTTTATTTATTCAATGTGGCATGAAATCTCTATTGAAGGAAAGAAACTATTAACCCTGCCAGACCAGTCTCTTTAAGGCCTTCTTTTCTCCTTAACTTTCTAGCCTTTTTTTTTTTTTTTTAACCTCCTTGCTTCCTTTCCTGGAATCAGAATCTTGCAATCCCAGTCACTGCAGGCCAAGTTCTTGGGCACCCCCTTGCCTATTGCAGCAAAAGTCAAGCCAGCCACACTCGTGGAGGCTCTGCCATCCCTACAAGAAGTGGGTAAAAGCTTCTGGGTTGAGACGGAACCCTGGCTTGGAATCCAGTTGCTCTTTCCCCATGGCTGGGCTCATCTTGTCTTTGGTGGCTGTAGCTGGGCTCACCTGCCAAGTGTCCTTGAGCAAGTGGTGGAGGTGGGATTTGAACCTAAGTCTTTCTAATCCACAGTCTATGTTAGAATATAGAGATATATGTCCAATAGAAATATAATGCAAGCCCTATTAAAGAGGTCAAAAGAAACAGGTGAAATTAGTAACATATTAACCCAATATATCAAAAACATTATTTCAAAATGCAATCAATAACAAATTCATGAATGAGATATTTCACATTCTTTTTTCATATTGAATCTTTGAAAGCTGGTGGACATTGACTTGTCCAGCACATCTCAGTTTGGACTGGCCCATGAATCTTGCCTGAGTCCCAGCTCCCAGGTTCTCATGAAGGGAGAAAATCTAGCCTTGGCAGCCATTGTTCCCCGGATGTAACTTCTCCCTCCTCCCTGCCAGCTCCCCCAGCTCTCCCAGAGTCTGCCACTGTAGCTGCCATCCCTGAGGGGCTGCACTGCTCCTGGGTTGTAGTAACCCAGGTGCCTACTATCCCTGTTTCCCCATAATTTCAACTCAAACAAGAGTAGTTTTTTTGAAAAGAACGTTCACTAAAAACTAAACGAAAAATAACACACACACGCACACAGCCTACCCCAAGAAAGCATGGAAATAAATCCCAAGTTTTGTCAGGTCAAGTATTTCTGATCTAAAATACAGGCAGTCAGGTCCCTAATGAGATGGGCTGGTTCAGTCCAGGCAGCCTGGTCCACGCCCCTTCTCCCATTTCACCTGTGTCTGGAGTCCCCCCTCCCCATCTTTTCTCACCATGGAGGTCTTCCTCCCCTGCCACCACTTTTTCCTCCGGTCCCCCTCCCATTTTTTGGGGGTTGAGACTTTGGCCAGGTATTGCAAGTAGCCAAGCATGGTGGGATGACAGGTCTCTAAAGGCCCTGGGTTGTTACTGAGAGAAATCACTGTGCTAACATAGTGATATGGTTTGGCTCTCTCTCCCCACCCAAATATCACCTTGAATTGTAATCCCTATAATCCCCACATGTCAAGGGTGGGACCAAGTGGTGGTAATTGAATCATGGGCGTGGTTTCCCCCATGCCCTTCTCATGATAATAAATCTCATGAGATCTGATGGTTTTTATAAGCACCTGGCATTTCCCCTGCTTGCACTCACTCCGTCCTGCCGCCCTGTGAAGAAGGTTCTTGCTTTTCCTTCTGCCATGATTGTAAGTTTCCTGAGGCCTCCCCAGCCATGCAGAACTGTGAGTCAATTAAACCTCTTTTCTTTTCAGATTACCCAGTCTTGGGTATTTCTTCATAGCAGTGTGAGAATGGACTAATACACAGCCATTCTGAAGTTTCCTTATCAGTACATGGAGATGGTAATACCTGCCTCAGAGAGTTGCCATGATGATTCCGCATGCAATCACACATATGAGAAAGTGCCTTGTCGACCTAAACCCTACTGTGAAATCATTCTTTTACCCATGTCCAGACACGATGGAGGAAAGGCTGCCCAGTGCCACCTTAGCAACTGACCCAGCCCATTCTCCACCCATTCTTTAAGGAGAGATGCCAACACACACACAAGTTTTAGCATGAGCCTTTCCCTGTTCCTGTTTCCTTGGGGTGCTGTTTGTGATTTCTGCAGAAGGCAGCATCTTATAAAGAAAAGAACTGTTACTCTAGGGCCAGACCAACCTGGCTCCAATTTTAGCTCAGTGCAACTTATTGTATGCCTCTGGGCAAATAAGCCGCCTCAGTTTCCCCATCTGTATAATGATTTAAGTATACCAGTCACACAAGAGTTGGACCTATGACACTGTCAATGCTCATGACTGTGAATTCCCTTCTTCATCCCCACCCCATCCTCACCCTCTCCCTCTCTGTGCAGGTGTAAGGTGGAGAAAGTACTAGATAGCTGGCGAAAGCCCTCTGCCCTGCCCTGTGGCTTGGAGTAGATAGGTGTGGAATCCAGATGGGATGAGCCTATCAGTCCTCTAACCATCAACCTCCCACATACCTAGTCTACACACAGGCCTGCTCCAGCAGGACCCAAGCTAGCTACCCTTGGGGAGGGACTGCTACCTTTACAGGAAGCTTCTATTAAGAGGGTCCCACTGCTAGCCCTGGGAACCATGTTGTTTATTCTTTTACCCCAAGCTGCATTTATTGAGCACTGACCATGTGCAGACCCTATGCCAAGTGAGGGGATGCTAGGGATGAGGGAGGCCCAGCCAGCCCCTGCTCTTGAGAAGCTCAGTCTGGGGAGGCAGATGGACTTGCCATGGCTCATGCTAAACTAGGGTAGGTGTTGTGGGAGCAAGAGGAGAGAAGGAAGGTGTCACAAAGGAGATGACAACTGAGCTGGCACTTGGAGGATAATTATGAGCTCCCTAATAAGAGAATGGAAAGACATTCCAGAACAACAGGTTCAAAGACCTGAAATCACAAAAGAGAACAGCCAGCTCCTGTCCAGGGCAGGGGAAAAAGAAGAGGAGGAGAGGATCTGAAGAGGTGGGCAGGCATGGGGCTGTCGGGGGAGCTGCTAGGCCAGCCAAGGGGTCTACCCTTTGAGAAAGGAGAGAAAGTGACCTCCCCCATCACCAGGACAGAAAGGGAGGGAGGCTGCATGGTACAGATGGAAAGCCCAGATGGCAACTGTGGAATGTCAGGGAAGAGCACTGTAAGGAGAGCTTCATGGAGGAGAAGGGGCCAGGTGTGAGGATTTGGTAGAATGTGGTCAACAGTGTAGGGGAAATGTGGCTTCTGACCACCACTCCCATTTTACTAAGCAGCTGTTCCCCCCAGGACCTCCTTTTCTCTGATATTGCAGTGGTACAGCAGATGGGTAGAGGCATGCATGTCCCTGCCCATGCCTGCTGGGAAAGGGAACCCATTTATTGAGTGCCTGTTGCATGCTAGATACTATGTCAGATTCTCTGCCAGCATATCACATTTAATCCTCATGATAACTCTGTCATATATTATTCTCATTTTACAATATGGAAGTTGACACTCAGAGAGGTTCAGTAATTTGTTCAAGGTCACACTGGTGGGAAGAGGCCAGGGCAGGATTTGAACTCAGGTCTTTCACATTCTAAAGGCTTTGTTCTTTCCACTTTGTGGTGCCGAGCATTTGGTTCCCAGCTTCCTGAGGCTGATCTTCCTCTAGCCCCTGGGTTTCTGGAGGAATTTATATGACATTGTTGCTGCCTTCATCATTAGAAGGCTGTCACCAGGGTGACAGGGAACAGTAGATATGGAGCTGTCACAATGGGAAAAATGAGGCGATGAGGAAGGCACTCCATCACCGCCTCTGGATTAGAGGCGGCCACAGCTCTGCCTGGCACACACTCCCTGTCATGATTCTGTTTCGGCTGCACCCCAACCTCATCCTCGCCCCCTCTTCAAATGGGTGGAATCCAGGCCTCAAAATCCACCTTGAATTCCAAAATATGCAGTCATCTTCGTGGAAAGGGGCCAACCCACCATCTTCAGAACCAAGCAAGGACTAGAACAGCACTTAACGTTTTGGGAGGCCACAGACCCCTCTCAAAAGTTGATAAAAGCTATGGACCTTCTTGCCGGAAAAATGCACCTGTGCTCACATTCACAAACAAACATGTTTGCATGCAATTTCAGATAATTCCCAGACTCTGCAGTCCAACTGAGGACTTCAGATTAAGAAGGCTTTCTCTCTGGAGATGCTGGGGGAACACATTTATAAAATACATAGTTTCTGACGATGTCTCCTTTTCTGACCCCTTCTCTGTTCGTAAGCTCCTGGAGAAAACAAAGGAAATAAATGTAACTCAGATGAAGTAATTGTTTTAGAAGAGTGTGTTGGCAACCCCATGTGTGGGGAGGTTGAAGCACTGACCAAAGTGAGAGCTTTGGGTTATCTGTCTGTTTAAATCACTCAGGGTTCTTCATGTCCGTCATGGTGTGGGTGGGCTGCCCGACAATCAGGATTTGACTCCATGTCCGAAAAACAGTCTATCAGGCTCTGAGCCCCTCAGGATGCTGGCTTGTGAAACACTTAGGTGCTGCACCTTCCAGGGGATGGGCTGGAAAATGCTTTGTAGAAGAGCCCGTTGCTGCAAGACCCTGATGTCCTCCTCCCTCTCACCCTCAGCTACCTCTGCAGGTTCATGTTCCTCCCTGGCAGGAAGCACGTGTGCTCTTAATAGAGCTGCCTAATCACTTGTTTAAACTAGACATTGTGTGGGTAATGACTTCTGGCTGGGACCAGAGAAAGCCATCAGCTATCCCGTGTAGGGATGAGTCCTGCCGGACATGGTCCCTGCTGGCTGCAGAGGCCGGGGCAGTTCTTCCTGAGGCAGAGCCAGCTGTGTGGTGGAGCATAGAGGGTGGATTGGGGACTGTTTGAAAGTTTGGCAAAGAGAGCTGGCACCTTTTTGCCTACCCTGCTACTCCTGGGCACAGGATGAACCCAAATGTGAGGGCTGATGGGAGCGCAGAGCCGGGAGGCAGGCTGCCTGGGGTCATTTCACCCCTCTGCCAGTGGCATTCAAAGAGTAGCTCCTGGCACAGGTCAGTCCCATGTACACCTGCACCTGTCTCCAAGCTGGAGAAGACAGAAAATCTGGCAACACCTAAGGCTTCCCAGTCCCAGGGATGTGACTATAAAGCCAGTAGATTCGCTGTTTGCCCAGAGTTTTGAGGTCTGGGGAGAGAGGTGCTAGAGAAATGTCAGTTACAGCCATGTTAATTATTATTATTTTTATCATTATTACAGGAGAGAATGTTCCCCCTGTTAATTCCCTGGGAAAATGGCTGTGAAAATGAGCTGGCACCATCTGGGCCTTGTGCCCAGGAGAGCAAGAGCACTGGCTAATACAGCCTCCAAATCTGCTCCCCTCCAAGCTGCTTTACCTGGTCCGCCACTGCACCCTCTGCCTGCCACCTCCCCTAACACACACATGCACTCACGTGCACAGATACACAACACACACACTCTTCCACACCTGCAGCCCTGGCTGCAGAGAGGAGGGTGCATAGCTCCTGCAGCATTGGAGAGTGGGTTTGGCCCTTGTTCTTACCTCACTGGGAGAAAACCAGCTGAGCTATAGTAGAGCCATGTGAAGGGGTGGGGGAAGACCCCTGCTTTAGTTGTTCTGGAGTTTTGCACTTACAAACACTTTCAAATGCAACATCCCATAGGCTCTCTCACAGCCAGGTAGTTGGTGTGGTGGTGAAAAGTGACAGCTTCAGCATCACACAGAGCTAGACTTACATTGTGGCTTTTGTTAATACATGTACTAGCTGTGTGACCTCAGATCAGTTGCTTAACTTCTCTGAGCCTCCATTTCACCATCAGTAAATATAATACTACTCTCGTAGGGTTGTTGTGTGGATTAAAATTTTTTTAAAGCTTTGTGAAAGGCCCAACACATAGTTAACATTCAATAAGTGGTGCCTATTAAAATTCAAGGCAGATATTTTTATCCCCATTTCATAGATGAAAAGAAACTGGGGTCAGTGAGGTTGTCCTATAGCTGGTGTCAACCTAAACAATGAACAGAGAGGCTCTCTAAAAGAAAAAGATACTTATTTTGGAATAGAGCATTGCACTGGGAATCCGCATGCCATAGTAAACTACATGTGTGTATTCAGGAAGGTAAAAGAAGACAAAGATTTTTAAAAGAAAAGATGAGGAGGATTACATAATTGTTTTGAAATAATTATCCTAGGCTACAAAGATCAATAACAAGGGTGATACCAGTCTGAGGTTGGATAGCCAGCTGTGGACAGATGTCCTTGCAGAAATATTTTTTGTGTAAGGTTTCAATGGTCTTTGTGCAAGATTGTGGTTTTTGCAATCTTTTTGATAGTTTTTGTTATCAGGCATCCAGGCATGAGAACCCTCTCTTCATGGCCTTCCCTGGCTCTATTTGTCAGGATGTTTTTTGTTTTTTTTTTTTCTTTTTTAACCCTGGTAAGTGCTAGAGCTGTTATTAGAACTCCTGGATTTAGATCCACATTAACTCTCTTAATGCCAAACCCTCAAATGCTGCTGTTTTCCTGGGAGACTTGGGCGGTAATGATGTGGAACTGTGTGGTCTTGAGTTAGCCTTTTTGCTTCCCCTGCAACCAGCTCTGTCCTCCCTAGCCTGCCCCACACACATGACCATCCATCTGGGGGCTTCTGAAGGTGTCACCTAGTGGCCGCAGCTGTTGCTCAGTCTCTGCCAGTGGGACAAGGGAGTAGAGATGAGTAGAGGAGATCCCAGAACCTCATGGAAACCTCAGGGCCTCATGGGGTGAGAAAAGATGGTGAGGGATGGAAAGCAAGCATGGGGAAGGGGTAGAGAAGAGACAGGAGAGTCAAGAAAAGAGGTGGGGAAGGGAGAGAGGAGCCAGGCCTCACCGTCTCCTCGGAAGGAGCTGCACAGCCTGTTCTACAGGCTCCGTTTGCTACAGCCCCTGAACGCCCTTCCAGGAGGGGGAGAAGTCCCACTTTCAGAAAACTGTTTCTTCTATCTGATAATAATAACGCATCCTTGTTTGGTGGCCTCTATGGTCTGAATGTTTGTGTCTCCCCAAAGTTTCTGTGTTGAATCTTAACCCCTCAGTGTGATGATGTTACAGGGCAGGGCCTTTGGGAGGTGGGTTCATGAGGGTGGAGCCCACCTGAGTGGGATTAATGTCCTTATAAAAGAGACCCCAGAGAGCTCCCTCTCCCTTCCTGCCATGTGAGGACACAGTGAGAAGATGGCCCTCCATCCATCAACCAGGAAGCGGGCCTTCACCAGACACCAAATCTGCCAGCTCCTTGATCTTGGACTTCCCAGCCTCCAGAACCGTGAACAATAAATTTCTGTTGTTTATAAGCTACCTGGTTTATAATATTTTGTTATAGCTGCCCAAATGGACTAAGACCATGGCAAATCCAGCTATTTAATGTACTTTTCAAATATGAAGTGATTGTGAATTTATGGTATATGAATTATATTTCAAAGCTGTTGTTAATATATATAATTATATAATATATACACATGTGTATGTATGTGTGTAACATCATAATATGATTTGTTAAGAGCATGGATTCTTGCTTCTTACCAGCTGTATGATCTTGGGCAGGAGGCTTAACTTCTTTTAACCTCAGTTTTCTCATCTGCACAATGGGGATAATAATATAATAGAGTTTTATGAGGATTAAAAGAGATAGTGAATGGCAAGTGCCTGGCAGAGAGTAAGCCCTTAATGAAATTAGCTAATTGTATTGCATCTATTTTAGCTATACAAGGCATATGTCATTACTAAATTATATTTATTTATTTACTTACTTTAGAGACAGTGCCTTCTGTCACCCAAGCTTGGAGTGCGATGGTGCATTCTTAGCTCACTATAGCCTCACCTCCTGGGCTCAAGCAATCCTCCTGCCTTAGCCTCTCAAGTAGCTTGGACTACAAGTGTGCACCACCACAACAGGCTAATGTTTTTAAAAAGAGTTGTTATAGAGACGGGGGTCTCACTTGTTGCCCAGGCTGGTCTTGAACTCCTGGCCTCAAGTGATCCTCCCAACTGGGCCTCCCGAAGTGCTGGGATTACAGGCATGAGCCACCATGCCCGGCTATTACTCCCATTTTAGAATTGAGGAAACTGAGCCCAGGAGGATGTTTCTCTGTACATGTCTGGAGGGCAGCACCTTGTCTTATTCATCTCTGTGATCCTGTACACAGGATTGGGCTCAATGAATCTTTGTAGAGTAAAAGACGTGTCACCCCTTGCTCAGTGGGGACCTGGCACTGGAATGCACAGCTCTGGGCTGCTAAGCCTGGGTTCTCTCCATCAAGCCAGGCTGACCAGCTAGGGAGGTTGAGAGAGCCCTTATGGCCCAGGAGCCTCCTAGAGGCCTATCGCCCTCTCCAGAGCTACCCAGGGGGCCGTGCCACCACTTGCTCACAGGGGAAAGACTTTCAAAGGTGGGAGCTGAGGCTGCCCTGCCAGGCGATGGCCATCTCAGGGCAGGGTCATTCAGCAGGCTCACGGAGCCCCCAAAACCCTTCCCCAGCCTGGGAGCAGGAGCCTGGGGGTGGCGTCCCACTAGCCAGGCAGATGAACAGCTTCTTTGGTCTGGGATTTCACTGAAAGCCCTGAAGCCCTGAGCCCTGCTTCACTTGGCACAGATTAGGCATCATGGGGCCCTAAAGATCTCCACATGGCCTCTTGGCAAGTCTAGGATTGCTTCCTCGCTATGTACTACTTAGAAGACCTGGCCGGGCGCGGTGGCTCACGCCTGTAATCCCAGCACTTTGGGAGGCCGAGGTGGGTGGATCACGAGGTCAGGAGTTCAAGACCAGCCTGGCCAAGATGGTGAAACCCCATCTCTACTAAAAATACAAAAAATTAGCCGGGTGTGGTGGCACATGCCTGTAATCTCAGCTACTCCGGAGGCTGAGGCAGAGAATTGCTTAAACCTAGAGGGCGGAGGTTGCAGTGAACCGAGATCGCACCACTGCACTCCAGCCTGGGCGACAGAGCGAGACTCCGTCTCAAAAAAAAAAAAAAAAAAAAAAAAAAAGGAAGACCTTGGGCAAGTTACTTCACATCTGTAAGCCTCAGTTTCCTTGCCTGTAAAATAAGGGTGCCAGTAGTTCTGACTCCAACGGTGCGGGGGGATTCAATGAAATGGTGCACAAAATCACAGAGCCGAGTCCTGTTGTGAACACTAAAGCAGGTCGGAGGCCTGGCCCCAGATCACCATGACAGCGCTCTGGCTCTGCGAACAGTAGTGCGTGAGATCAGTGCTGGTGATTATATTCCCCAGGCCTCTGCCTGCAGGCCTCATGCCAAGGCCTGATGTTCGGGGCGGGGGGTGGGTGGGTGAGAGCAGGCAATCACTGTTGGGGTCCCCCTACGCTCAGTGAATGCTTTCACGAGGCGGGAGGGAGACCAGAAGAAAAGCAAGGAAAGGAAAAGAAAACCCTAGTACATTCTCCTCTGTCCTCCCCCAGCTCCGCAGCTCCTGGGGGAATTGAGCTGCATAATACAATGGGATTTAATAAAATGCCTTTAACTCACAAAGTTTGTCTGCTGCCAGCTCCTTAATTAAATTGCCTAATGCTGCTTTGCGATGGGAGCACAAACTCCTGTGTTTAAAGAGCACGGTGTTGCCATGGCACTCCCCCACAGGGTGAGCAGGGTGTGGAGGAGCATACAGATGAGGCCCGGGGGTCGGGGCCTTCCCGCAGAGGAGTCCTCTCTACCACCCTCTCAGCGACTGCCCCCAAACACACACACACACACACACACACACACACACACACACACACACACACGTCACGTGCTGCAATAGGCAGACTCTGGTCTGGGAAAGGATTTAATCCTTGCTAAGAATGCTGAGCTGTGGTTTAGAACTGGGAGACTCAGGGGCATCTGCACAGAGCAGAGCTGGTCAGCTGGTCTGGCTGTGGACAGTGGACTCCAGGCACAGCCCTTGGCACTCAGGGCAGCCCTGTGGGGCCTGGGGCAACCAAGCGTCTCCCTGAGCCGCTCCCTCTGGCTGCCAGCAGCCACCACCCTCTCCCCTGGTGCACTGTACAAATACACTCATCTATATGTGCCCTGGCTTGAGAAGGGCTGGGAAGCATTGGGCTAGAAAGCATTGGGCTAGATCTGATTGGTTTGATGAGAAAGTAGGGATGTTCTTTCACATGTGGACGGCAGAGGAAAGAAGCTCATTTGCTTTATGGATTTTTCCTTCAGAAGTAATAGTTCTCAGTCCTGGCTTCACATTCAAACCATTTGGGGATTTTCCCCCCAATACTTTATTATGAAAAATTCCAACATACCGCACAGTAAAGGGAATTTTACAGTGAGCAATCATCTACCCACCACCTAGACTCTACCATTAACCTTATTATTAGACTTGCCTTATCACCTCTCTCTCCAACTATCCATTCCTCTATCTATCAATCCATCTTAATTTTGGTGCATTTCAAAGCAAATTGCAGACATCAGTACACTTTTCCCTAAATATTTCAGTATCAACAGCTATGGGGTTCAATTTTTGCTTACAATGTTTTTCTTTTGACATAAAATTTACAAAGAAATCCTGGGAAGTTTTTTTTAACACCGTGTGTGGACCCTACTCAGAGATTGATTTAATTGGTCTAGAGTGGGAGGTAGGCATCAATATATTTTATTTTATTTATTCTAAAAGACAGAGTCACCCTCTGTCTCCCAGGCTGGAGTGCAGTCATGCGATCATGGCTTACTGCAGCCTTGACCTCCTGGGCTCAAGGGATCCTCCTGTCTCAGCCTCCTGAGTAGCTAGGACTACAGGCATGCACCTTGTAGCCCACTGCCCACAGCAAGACCAGTTGGCCAGCTCTGCTCTGTGCGGATGCCCCTAAGTTTTTCAGATCACTATGTTGCCCAGGCTGGTCTCAAACTCCTGGGCTCAAGCAAACCTCCCGCCTTGGCCTTCCAAAGTATTGGGATTACGGGCACGAGCCACTGTGCCTGGCCAGCATTAGTATATTTTAAAAGATCCCCATGTAATTCTATGGTGCAGCCAGAGTTGAAAAACAGAGATAACGGGATGCAAATGATTGTCATTTTTAAGTCCATGATCATCCTTCTTTTAGTGTGCCCCTCTGTGTGCATGTGAATCCACTTATTTTCATGTTAGCATTATTGGGGGATCTCATTATCCAATGTGTATTTACCAATTACAGAAGCCGCGTCTGTTTCAGGTTCTGTATGCATCACAGCAATGAGGCCATACGCATGTTCTGATGGTGATCAGGGTAGCTATGATGACCAGGATTGTGACAGTGGCTGGAGGAGATGACGATGCTCGTGGAAGGTATTAAGTGAGTGTGGTCATGGCAGCGAGCAGGGGATTCATATGGCAAAGATGGGGCTGGTGACATTAACAGAGATGGCCGGCTGCAGGTGTGCTGACCATAGTGATGGTGGAGGTAAATCTCACGATGGCATTGTGATAATGAGTTGATATTCCTGGTGATGCTGCTGCTGTTGCCTGTCCCTGTGAGGGCGATGTGCCAACAGATGCTCATTCCCTGCAGCGATGCTCGTCCTGGAAGAATGTTGGTTGTTACACGGCAGGAAGGTTGGTCCTTCCATTTGGGATTGTCACTGCTGCAAGGTGCAGCTCCTTCCAAAATTCTGAGACCACCTGAGAACCTTCTACCTTTGCAGCCAAGAAAGAGGCTCAGCAGAGCAGCAGCAGCTCCTTGCTCAGCTGCCCTTTTCCACTGCACTTTAAGACAGAGCTCTGGTGTTAAGTATGAGTGGGTCATTAGGAACATTTATTTAAGATGAACGGTTCTGGGAGCCAGCCGGGTTTGGGATACCAGCCATCTCGTGATCGATAGAGATTTTATTTGCTGCCTGCATGGTTTCCTGTTCCCTTCATGCCTGGTACACTCAAGAGAGGACTGGACAACTGCTGTGGTTCTCTCTCCCTTAAACCCTGCAGCAGGGAGCAGAGGTGAGCAAAGCCCCAGAGTAGTCCTGACCTCTCTCCATGAGCTAGGATGACACCCTCTCAATTGTACTGGGCTGCGGAGAGAGGTTTAAGGATGAGAACAAGGTTGGGGCTGCCAAGACACATTACATTTAAAATATTTATATATTAATATTTACTTATATGTAAATATATATAAGCCCAGAGAATAATGCTGGAAAATACCCTTAAAATAATATTGTCCAACGCTTTTATTTTACAGATGAGAAAACTAGGGTTCAGTAGTCAGCAAATAAGATCCTTGTTGAGAACAACAAAAACATCTTTTATGCATATATCTCTAACAAAGCAGAGTGAACTCACACCTGTGATCTGATCGGATCTTTAGAATGGTCCTGTGAGTAGGCAGGAAACTTCCTGCCCACCTGACCAATAGCTCCTGAATCCCTTCCCAGATTTTTTCCACTATGCAGTGAGCCTAGGTCATATCTGTATAGCACTTCTCAGCTCACCATGCATATTTCACACTCATATTTTCATTTGAGCTGTACGTCTCTGTAAAAAAGGGATAGTACTAGTCTTAGTCCCATTTTTCAGTAGAGAAAACTGAGGCTCATAGAAATAAAGCATCTTGCCCAAGCTTGCACAGTTAGTAAGTAGCAGAGCAGGAACTAGAACTCAGGATGCCTATGTTACTGGATGGCTTAAAACAACATAAACATATTGTCTTGTAGATTTGGAGGCTGGAGGTTCAAAATCAAGGTGTCGGCAGGGCCATCCTCGCTCTGAAACCTGTAGAGGAGGATTCTTTCTTGCCTCTTCCTGCTTTCTGGTGGTGGCCATCAATTGGTGGTGTTCCTTGGCACACAGCTGTAGCACTTCCATCTGTCTCCGTGGCACATGGCACCTTCCTGTGTGCCTCTGTCTTCACATGGCTTTTTTTTCTTATAAGGATACCAGTCATATTGAATTAGGGCCTTCCATAACAGCCTCATCATCAGATGATTACATCTTCAGACCCTATTTCCAAATAAGGTCATGTTTATAGGTACTGGGGGTTAGGACTTCACTATATCTTTTTGAGGAACACACTTCAACCCATAACAGTCCCTGACTTCCAAGCCAAGGGCCTTTTACAACATGCTGTTTGCACAGCGGGCTCCATCCCATTCATTCTCTCCTCCACGTCTTCTATTCCCAAGGACCAGGTGCTCCCCTCCCCTGCAATTCAGGACATAGGGCTGGCTGAGAGCACTTTTCATTTTCTGCTCTTCCCAAATTATTACAAGCTACTAAAGTAAAATCATGAAATATAGGTGGGCTTTTTGTCTTTTTTATTCCCAGACAGTAAAAATCATTAAGGCTTGCTCTTAATTAGTTTAATTTCAAAGCTTCTAAATATTGATTTAACCTACACTCTTTTGTACTTGCCGCAGTCATTGAATTATGCCTGTTATTGATCACAGATGGAAGCATTTCCTTCCACAGGCTTGGGGGCTCTGGGAGCCGCTGGTCCTGCAGCAGGTACACTGGGCTTGGAAGGCGTGGATGGGTGTGGAGGAGAGGAAGCCTCTGCCAGATTGGAAAGGGCGTTCTCTTGAAGAAGGGCTGCCGAGCTTAGGCCAGGGGCCAGTTTCTTTCTCTTGGGTTGGCCCAGGCCCAACGGAGCTTGAATAAGTCAACTGGAAATCTCCTCATTCTATTCCAGGCTTGAGGAAGTGGAAGGAGAGCTGGGCAGCGGGGACTGGAGAGGGTGATGTGGGATCGGGGTTAGAGCACAGGTGTTAGGGCCAGCCAGAAGCAAGTTTGAGTCCTGGCTTTACCAACTGAATGTTCTGGGCTTGGTACCTTACTTCTCACATCTGAGAAGTGGGGCTAGTAATTTCCACATCACGCTCTTACTGTGAGCATTCAACACAATCACTCTGGTGAGGCACCTAGCCCAAAGCCTGGCTACTAATCAGTGCTCAGTCAATGACTACCATTATTATCATTGCCCTCTCACTGGAAAAATAAAGACTGGACTTGGAAGCATACTGTATCTTCTGGCCTCAGCCTCATTACTTGTTTAGGTGTGATCTTGGACAAGTCACTTATCTTCTTTCCACTAAAATGAGGATAATGGCCCCTTTGACTTCAGAGGGCTACCGTGAGAATCACATAGATCGTAGTCCATTTGTGCTGCTATAACAGAATACCACAGAATGGGTAATTCATAAAGAATAGAAATTTATTTCTTACAGTTCTGGAGGCTGGGAAGTCCAAGACAAGGTGCCAGCATCTGGTGAAGGCTGCTGTCTGCTTTCAAGATGGTGCCTCGAATGCTGTTTCCTCACATGGCAGAAGGTAGACAGACCAAAAAAAAAAAAAATTCTCTCTGTCAAGCCCTTTTAAAACAGTAATTTATTTCTTCATGACCTAAACACGTCCCAAAAGGCCCCACCTCCCAACACTGTTGCACTGGGGAATAAGTTTCCAATACATGGATTTTGTGGGATATATTCAGACCATAGCAACATAGGATTGTGAATACAGAAGAATTTTTTTTTTTTTTTGGAGACAGAGTCTCGCTCTGTCGCCCAGGCTGGAGTGCAGTGATGTGGTCTCGACTCACTGCAAGCTCCACCTCCCGGGTTCACACCATTCTCCTGCCTCAGCCTCCCATGTAGCTAGGACTTCAGGCGCCCGCCACCACGCCTGGCTAATTTTTTTTTGTATTTTTAGTAGAGACGGGGTTTTACCGTGTTAGTCAGGATGGTCTCCATCTCCTGACCTTGTGATCCGCCCGCCTCGGCCTCCCAAAGTGCTGGGATTACAGGTGTGGGCCACTGCGCGTGGCGAATTTTTTTTTTTTTTTTTTTGAGACAGAGTCTCACTCTGTCACCCAGGCTGGGGTGCAGCGGCATGATCTCAGCTCACTGCAACCTCCACCCCCTGGGTTCAAGTGATTCTCTTGCCTCAGCCTCCTGAGAAGCTGGGATTACAGGTGCATGCCACCAGGCCCACTAATTTTTGTATTTTTAATTGAGTCGGGGTTTCACCTTGTTGCCAGGCTGGTCTCAAACTCCTAATCTCAAGTGATCTGCCCACCTTGGCCTCCCAAAGTGCTGGGATTACAGGTGTGAGCCACCACACCCGGCCAATATGGAAGAATTTTAATTGCAAGGTGCATTTGATCTGAACAGCCTATTATTATTGATGGCTGTTGTAGCTATTGCCTTTTGTTTGTTTGGGTTTAAGTTTGCTTTTATTGTTAGAGACAGGGTCTTGCTCTGTTGCCAAGGCTGTAGTTCAGTTGTGCAGTCATAGCTCACTGCAGGCTTGAACTCCTGGGCTCAAGCGATTCTCTCACCCCAGCCTCCCAAGTAGCTAGAACTACAGGTATGAGCCACCACACCCACATAGGTGTTTTGTTTGTTTGTTTGTTTTTTGGTAGAGACAGGGTTTCACTGTGTTGGCCAGGCTGGTCTCAAACTCCTGGACTCAAATGAGCCTCCCTTGGCCTCCCAAAGCACTGAGATTACAGGCATGAGCCACTGCTCCCAGCTGGTTACTGCCTTATATGCCTCCTTTGGCTGGCCTCTGCCTGGGTATTGTGTCCAGACCATTCTGCCTCTGGCTTGCTGCTCCAACATCTTCATCACATCACCCACACTCTCAAGACCCACGGGGAGCCACTCACTGCTTGGAACTCACTTCATATGTTTGAATCTTGGGACCTTTGCTCCTAGTGTCTCCTATCTATGCATTACTGGCCTATGGATTCCCAGCAACACTACCCCTGTGAATTTTTCAATGGCTTTATTGAAGTTTAATTTGCATACCATCAAATTCAGCCATTTTTAGTGTACAGTGATTTTTTAGTAAATTCCTCTGAATGTTTGTCTAACTTCCTACATGAGGTAGAATCATGCTGTCTCCCCTAGCTTGTGCCCTGCTGCCCTTGCTCTGTGACAACTTTTATCATCCTCTGGTACACTGGTTTAGTTTTCTTTTTAACCTGTGAATCCCCACCTGCCCTCCTCATAACTTTGTATTTGCAGCCCTCACATACTTACAGTGCCTGGGATAAGGTCAGGGATCTATTTCATGCTCAATGGATAAGAGTTCCCTTGTGGCCAGGACAGAGGAGGTGAGGGGAGTCTTGAAAACCCAACCTAATCTGTCAGGGTATAAGCAGCTCTTCATATATATATATATATATATATATATATATATATATATATATATATAGAACACTCTAGGTATCACTCTTCTTGGTTTGTAGACTTCTAATCTGAGCTGGAGAGGAGGTTAGAGATGAGCTAGCCAGCAATCCTCAAACTTCAGCATGCATCAGAACCACCTGCAGAGCTTGTTCAAACACAGGTGACTAGACTAGGGCCCACCCTCAGAGTTTCTGATTCTGGAGGTCTTGGGTGGGCCAAGGAACTCGCACTTCTAGCAAGTTTCCAGGTGATGCGTAGACTACTGGTCCGGGGACTACAGTATGAGAACCGCTGCTCTAGCCCAACTCCCTCATTTTGCAGATGAGAAACCCAAGACCTAGAGAAGGAAGAAGACACCATCCAAAGTCTGTCCCCAGGCCAGGAGTAGAGCCAGTCCTGTCCCATGCTGCATCTACCAGCCCTGCTTCCCCCATCTGGCTTTGGAGATGGGTAAGGAGTGGAAGGCAGGAAGCAGCCTCTGAGAAACACTGTCCACCGGCCTGCCCTGGCAAGGGGGAGTGCAGAGGGACTGCCCAGGGAGAGGCCTGTGGGACTGGGGAGGGGCACAGGAGAGGTCCTGGGGAAGGGAATGGCCAGGGCATTGGAGGAGGTGGCCAGGACGGACAGGCCATTGTCTTGCGGTTAGTGGGGAGGAAAGACAAACCCGGGCCTCAGCTGCAGCCATTTATCTCCGGGCTGCCTGGACAGCTGACAGGGAGCAGGCAGCGCCCCCGAGACCAGGACTCCTTCCGCGGCGTGACTTATCTAGAGCTTCATCTGGCAAACCCGCTGATGAAATGAGTCTCTTTTTCTCTCCGCCTCATCAATTTTCATTCTGATTTTATTTTCCTTTTCCGTTAGAAGGGGCTTGGCCTTTCTCCATGTTTAACTGGGCTGCTCCCCATTCTCTGCCTCCCTGTCTCCTCAGCCGCCAGAGCCCAGCCCCTCCGACCAGGCCTCACCCACCCCCACCCGACCCTTCCCTGAGGGTCCTTTCCTCAGTACCACTGACACTTGGAGGCAGGAAACCCAAACCTCCTTAACTAAGGCCTCATTCACCTCGAAAGCAGTGGTGCTTCCCTCTGTTCATCCAGGGCCATAAAGCCACTGTCCCCGTGCTCGAGCAGCTTGCAGTCTGAGAGACAGAAGATGAGCATTGTATTTGATGTGGATTTTTATTTCAATTTTTATTTTATGTATAGGGGGTCCATGTGCAGATTTGTTACTGAGGAAAATTGCATGATGCTGGGGTTTGGAGTACGGCTCCTGTCACCCTGGTAGTGAGCATATACCTGATATATAGGTTTTTAACCCCCCCACACACCCTCTAGTAGTCCACAGTGTCTGCTGGTCCTATATTTATGTCCATGTGTGCTCAATACTTAACTCCCACTTATAAATGAGAAGATGTGGTATTTGGTTTTCTGTTCCTACGTGAATTTGCTTAGGACGATGGCCTCCAGCTCCACCTACACTGCTGCAAAGGCCATGTTCTTTTGATGCCTGTGTAGTATTCCATGGTGCATGTATTAGTCTGTTTTCACACTGCTGATAAAGACATATCTGAGACCGGGAAGAAAAAGAGGTTTAATTGGACTTATAGTTCCACATGGCTGGGGAGGCCTCAGAATCATGGCAGGAGGTGAAAGGCACTTCTTACATGGTGGCGGCAAGAGAAAATGAGGAAGATGCAAAAGCAGAAATCCCTGATAAAACCATCAGATCTTGTGAGACTTATTCACTACCACAACAATAGTATGGGGGAAACTGCCCCCATGATTCAAATTATCTCCCTCCCACAACACGCGGGAATTATGGGAGTACAATTCAAGAGGCGATTTGGGTGGGGACACAGCCAAACCATATCAGTGTATATGTAGCACATTTTCTTTGTGGATGTGGATCCTTGAGGGTGGAGGAAGGAGCAAGGGACTGATTATTTTGAGTTGGTGGTAGAGCCTGGTCGTCAGGAAAGACCACATAGGGGTGCAGCATAAACTATGACTTCAGAGATGGAAAGGAATTCCCCAGATATGCAGGTGAGGAAGGGGACTTGTGGCAAGGTCCCTGCATGTGTGAAGGCATGGGACAGGAGAGACTATCACTTGTATTGCTCTTGGGTCTTCCCTCCCCTTCCCCCCGCCCTTGCCTCTGTCCCAGGGATCCACTGGGGCTAAAGGGATGTCCTGGGGCCCAGACTGCTAGAGGAGCCATGCTACAGGGTCTGTTCAGCACCCCCACCTGACTCCTGACGCAGAGAGGTGGAGAAGCTCATGGGTCAGCACTGGGCTTGGCTGCCCATCTGAGGCCTGCAACTGTGGCCAGCATGGAATGTCTATGGGAGGCCATCAGCTGGGACATTTAGAACTCTTCTGGGAGGGGCGCTCTTGACCCTTCTGGAGAGCATGTGGGGAAGCAGAGGAGCTGCTCCCCTAAGCCAGGAGGAGCTGGTGCTGAGTTGTTTATTGGGTGAGAGTTGTGTCCAACACCAATGATCTTTAAATGAACTGAGTCCTAGAGCTGTCCGGAAGACTAGAACTAGGACCCCGGTTGGAGACTGCAGGGAGTGCTTATAGTTGACATCGGACAGGGCAGCTCCGTTAGGAAGGAGTGTCACCTGCACTGGGAAGGTTCCAAGGAAGAGGTTGCCTGCCTTAGAGACCAAGTACCCTGATAGGCCAGCATCAGGCTGGCCTAGTACAAAGATGGTCTCGAAGCGCCCCCAGGGAAATGTGCCTCCAACAAATCGAAGTGGATAAAAAGGGCAGGACACTCTAATGAGCACCGGGCACTCTCTAGACATCTTTTTCAGATTCCCCCTCGCTATGAGGCAGGTCTGTCTCCATCTTGCAGATGAGAATCTCAGTGAGGAGGTTCAGGATCACACAGCCAGTACAGGACTCTGGTGCCGCGCCGTCTCTAAAGCCCACCGTTCAACCACTCGCCTGTGCTCTCAGAGAGGTCGGTGGAACCTGCGGGATTTCTGGAAGGGGAGCCTGAGAGAGCTTCAGAAGGGCGAAGACTGTCATAGGAGCTTGGCAAATCCAGAGGCAAGAACTTGAGTCAGAGAAAAATGCTCTCTTCACCTGGGGGCCAGTGACCAAGGAAGGGCTAAAGACGCCATGTCTGGAGTGGCCCGGGTATTGCCCAGGGAAGACAGGCTCTGGGATGATGTTTGTCTCTTTCCTGTCAGGAAGGAAGGAGGCAGGGGGTCTGAGCCCAGACACTGCCCACCCCATAGGCAATGGAGCCACCTGAGCTCTGAAATAGCCAGCCCCCTCCCTCCCCACTTGCCTTGCCTGCCTTGCTTTTCTTTTCTTCCCTCCCTCCCTCTTTCTTTCTTTCCTTCTCCGGATATTCTCTGAGCTACCACTGTGTCCAGACTGTTGGAAGAACTGGCAACTTGAAGCACAGTTCCTGCCTCAGAGGAGCTCACAGTCTGGTCGGGGAGACAGCAAGCCAGCCAGTTTAGGATGGAGGCACACTAGGGCATCATGGGAGCCCAGGAGATGGGTGCAGGGGGTCAGAAAAGTTTTCCCTGAGGATCAGCAAAAGACTGGCAGCAAGCGGCAGTGAGATGCAGCCTGGAGCTGCCTCCGTGCCCCCAACAGGCTGGCTCGGCTCCCCTGCAGCCTTTTTTGGTGCAGTGCACGCAGACAGCAATGACTCTGTGCTACCTACTGGCACCTTCCACTCCTAATTAAGAAATAATGAGGTAGGCTGCCTTCCAGGCAGCAGAGCTCTAACACTCTCTGCTTGGGCCAGCCAGGAGACCTGGGAAGACAGAGATTCCTGCCTGGGGACAGTCCCTCCCCTCCCAGGCCCAACAAGGGGGGTTTCCTGGAACCCTGACCCCTCTCATTCCAGAGACGAGGGGAGGGCAAGTATGAACAAAGAAGCCTCACCTTTGCCCAGCAGATGCCCTCCAGTCCCTTCCCACCATGACAGCCCTGGAGGTCAGGCGAGCGCTGGCACCGGAATCATGGAACTGGCAAGGGCTGGCGATGGGGTTCGGATCCTGGCTCCTCCACACTCTCGCTGTGGGACCTCAGTCCGGCCCCTTAGCTTCGCGGAGCTTACGTTTCTCATCTGAAAAGTATGTCCCTCACAGAAGGATGGGATGAGGAACATAAAGTGGCTAGCAAATAGAAGTCCTGGTACATGGAAGACACTCAGGAATGCCACATCTTTCCTCTGAGACTTTGCTTTCTGTTAGCATCCCAGTGGCAACAACTAGAGTTGAAGGGACTCATTTTCCCAACAGAGAGATTCTCAGAGTAATGGTTTTCAAGCTTTTATAGCTACAGCCCTAGGCAAAAAAAAAAAGAAAAAGAAAAAAGAAAAAGCCTTGTATCATGTCCCAGTGCACAAATGCGTGTGTATAAAATAGGGGGCAGCATCTCAAAACAATGCTTAGTCTGGCCGCATACAATGCAGTATGATATTTTCTATTCATTTTTTTAATGTAGATCGTGACCCACGTTAAATTGTTTTCATGACCTACTAATGGGTTGTGATTCACAGTTCACGGCAGAGCACCCCTCAGTCCTGCAAGGGAAAGTGCACGGTACTAGGCTCTAGGGACACAAAAATCCGTAACAAACCATCCTTTCCTCGAGGAGCTCTCAGTCTGGTTGGGAAGACAGACTCATGGCCTAACAGTGAGGAAGTTGCCACTGTGGTTTGTTCAGAGAGTCTCGGGGGCAGCTGTGGGAGGAACCACTCTTCTCTAAGGGAAAGCGTCACAGGGGAGGTGGCATTTGGGATGGGTTTTCATGGCTGAAGAGGAGTTGAATAGTTGAAGTTGGGAAAGGGCACGGCAGGCACAGTGAGAGGCCCAAGGTGTGGAAGGAAAAATAGCCAGGGTGTGGTGTGTCTGGGAATGAGAGGCAGTCAGGGGAAGTGTGGCTCTCTCAGGTGAGCAGGAAAGCCCAAAAGAGGCCACCGTACAGGACAAGGCCAGAAGTGAAAAGAGAAGGTAGGTGTGAGCATTTTGGTAGGGGGTGTGAGGTGGGAGAGGGCAGATGAAGAGGGCGGGCATTTCCAGCCTTTGGTGGACGGTGGTGCTGATGGCAATGGGACCAATGCAGCACAGCCAGGCAGTGGGAGGAGATGTTGCATTTAGGACAAGCAGAATGGGAGGAGCCTCTGAGACTGCCGAGTAGAGTGACCCAGGGGATGGATGGTTAGGAGTGCAGGTCTGGGCCCCTCCTTCCTGGCCACCCCCAATCCATCCTCTTGCCTAGTGCTCCAGAACTCTGTGATGAGAAGGCCTAGAGGGCACGGGGGCCAGGAGGTCACCCACATCATCCTCCCTCAAGGCAGCATGGCACTCCCAGGCCCAGGCCATGAGGATGCTGGCCAGAGCTGGGCCCCAAGGCTGAGAGCAATTTTTAGATACGGGAACTCTAGAAAGAGAGAGAAGAATCAGCCTCTCTTCCTGGAGATCACTGGTTAAACATGAGATTCTAAGACGCTATAGCCCACTTTGAAGTAGGGGGAGGAATGAAGTGGATTTAAAGTTCCCTAATGCCAGAGTAACCTAATTCCAAAGACCCTGGTCCCAACTTGTCATGGAAAAGGAAGGGGAATTCTGGGTTTTCAAGATGAAACTGCTTGGCGGCGATAGAAGTCGGGACCGTGGTTAGCTCCAGGTGGGGGCTGGATATTGACTGGGAAGGGGCACATACGTAGGAACCTTCTGGAGTGCTGGAAATGTTTATGTCTTGATTTGGGTGGTGGTTGTACTTGTACCTATGCATGTTGGGATCAGGGACATTTATGTATTCTCCCGTACATATGTTATACCTCAACAATATTTTTTAAGTTTATTACAAAAGTTGAGAGATGAGAAGTATTAGGTATTAGTATTAGTATTAAAATTCATGGCCAAAACCGCAATTACTTTTGCTCCAATCCAATGTATGGTAAGATGAAAGGAGAGGCTGCAATGCTGGGAAGCAACAGAGGGAACTAACAGGCACTTCATGTACCTTCCATCCCGTACTCCTCCCAGCAATTCCAGAAGGGGTGCAGGCATTATCCCCATTCCCAGCTCAGGGATTTGGGGCTCGAAAGGTTAAGTACTTTGCCCAAGGTCACACAGCAAACAGCAGAGCCAGGCTCACGCCCCACCACTCCTCCTTCACATAAGTTATTTATGGAATTCAGACTCTGGAAGAGCAGATAAACGCTGAGGCTGAGGTCTCCTCCAGCTCTGAGGTTCTGGTTGTGTGTGATTAAATGGGAGGTGGAAGTGAGGGGCCAGGCTTACCTCCCAGGAGGAGCTGGAGGCCAGGTATGCAGATGGAGGACTGGCCTTCCTCACCCTCAGCATCCCTCCCACCCAGCGCTTATCTGCTGGTGAGGAGGCCGGAGTTTATCAACGCTACACTCAATTATGCCGCCCATCTCTCTCCGCAGCTTTGTGGGGAGAAGGGTGTCCTGGCACTGAAGCAGCCAAGGCCAGGCAATCGATCACCACCTGCCACCCTCCCTCTGGACCCTCAGCTCCCGGGGGGGGGGGTGGGGGGGGAACCGCCAGGGAGAGGAGGGAGGAGGAGAGGAGAGAGGAGACTCTGCATCCACCAATACCAGGCAGGAGCACTAGGGCTGTGCTGGGGCCGGGGGCCTGAGAAGCAGGGAAGGGAGAAAGTAGTGACAGCGTCTCCAAAACTCTTCCTTCAGACCTTTGCCAAAGGTCTTAGTTTAATCAGGGGCATTGTGGATTAATTCCACAGTTTCCGCTAAATCCACAGAAACAGCCCCGAGAACATAGACCTGACAGGGTTTGCAGCACCAGCCTTTCCAAGAGAGAAACTTGCCCTTGGAGTGGGCAACCAACCCTGCTTCTTGGAATACGGCTCTAGGGCTTTTGTCTCCTGTCCCTGAAGCCCACAGCTGGCCAGCAGTCACTGGCTGCGCAAAAAGCAGCCCCCAGCCCCCATTCAGAAGGCAGGCTGAGGTCTGTGTGCAGCAGCTGGCTCTGTTTGTCCCTGTGGTTCCAGGCCCAGCCACACACACACACAGGAACAGTGTCCTTCCCCACACTGTCCCCCAGGGGGGTTGTTCTAGGCAGGAGTCAAGGAACAGGAGCTGAGGGGCCCAGCAGGGGGCAGGTGCGTGGAGGAGCTGAGGACTCAGGTTTTCTCTGAAGGGATTTGCAACTGAGGCAGCCTTGCCCTCTGCTCCTGTAAAACAGGTGCTGATCCACATTGGCTGGGCTGGTGAGGCAGGATGTAGAGTCAAAGACCCTGGGTTTGAATCCTGACCCCACTGCATAGAAGCTGTGCAACCTCTGATGAATCACCTAACGTTTCTGACTCTCAGTTGCCTCCCTGGCAAAATGGAGCTAAATAATCCCTTCTTGCCTACACACAGGGTTGTTGGGGGGATTAAATGCAATGCGTGTTCTCTACACATTTCACTATAGCAACTCTCAAGCACCTGCTACATGCTCAATCCTACACTTGGTGCTCTGGGGACACAAAAAGCATGTAAGATATGGCCCCTGCCTCAAGAAGCTCGGAATCCAATTGGGGAAAGTATACACGTGACAGTCTGAACTCCTGATCACCCCTGGAGATTACAGATGAAAGACAATTAGCTTTCTCTGCAGCTCCCCGGTAGAAACTGCTAATCAGCCTGCATGAGCGGGCCATGTGCAAGGCAGCCTTAGGTGGTGATGGCAGGTGAGAGGGCAGCTCTGAGCTGCATCCTGGAAAGAGCTGCATGCTCAGCAGTGAGGGGGTGGACTTGTCTGGGCCTTTGCCAAGCCTTGGGGTCAGAGGTGCAGTGTGAACATGAGTCATCAAGTCACTGCCTCTGGATCCCGAGGCCCAGCCCCAGGCTCCCGGCCCAGGAGCCACGACCTCTGCCTCATCCACCCAGCCCAACCAGGGGAGGGAAGGAAGGGGCAGCAGTCTGGGGTGAAGGGGAAAGGCAAGTGCCTGGAGGGTTTCAATGAAGTTTTAAATGGTTCCTTGATCCCCTCAGTGCAGTTGAGCACGGACTCAGCGCTTAGAACCAAGTGTTGATGAAGAAGGGAAACTGGACTCGGGTAGGGTCTAAAGGTCAGGGAGATGCTGGGGCCCAGCTGAAGACCCCTCTCCACCTCCTCCAGCCCTCACCCTTCTCTCCACTTGGGAAATGTCTTGGGCTCTCCTAGTTGTTTCGTGTTTTTGAACCTGCCTCCCCAACTAGCATGGCACTTGCTAACTTATCGAGCCCTAGGAGTCCTAGGAGCCAACTTCTATTGTCCCCTAAGAAGTCCTATAGCTGGAGAACCTCCTGACCCTGAGGGATGACTGGAGCTGGAAGAGAGCTAACATTTGTCCAGTTCTTTCTGTGTGCAACACACTCATTTAACTCCAATGACAATCTCATGTAATACAGAAGGAAATGGTTGCTCAGAGCAGTCAAGTAGCTTTGCCTCAGGTACTTGGGTAGTGAGTGGTAGGGCCGCGATTTGGGTCCTGATCTATTTGCCGGTAGGTCTGCTCTCTCACAGCAGGTCTAGGTGGCAGTCAGGGGTCTCTGGTATGTAAGTGTGGCAGGATTACTGGCCATAGATCCAGTTCCACAACAGGGACCTCTCGGAGACTCAGCTTGTTCCCTCCTTCCTTTCCACCCACCTAGACCACCACAAAATTCCCTCCCTGCTTCCTGACCCCCATACACTGGCTTGGGTAGCTGGGTTCCCCTTGCACAGGTATGCAGGCATGCATGCATGTGTACACATGTGTTTGTTCACACTGAGTTTTACGTGTCGGTGCACACACACCCCTATCAAAACCTCTGTGCCTTTGAAGTCGCGGTTGTTTTTCCCACCTTCAGAAATAGCTGCAGAGGAAAGTGGGAAGTAGCCAAATGTAAATAGGCTTGCTGTGTTCCTGCTCAGGGAACGGGACCCTGCCTCCAGCTGCTCCCCTCCCAAGCCCTAGCATCCTGGAAGCAGGATGAGGGAGGTGAAGAGCCCCTCTGGCCCGCTGAGAGGCACCTGCCTGGATGGTGGCAGGAGACATAGCTCCAAGCTTTCTGCAGCTGCCTGGTAAGGAGTCATCACCCCAGGGGACGAGAACAGGCACAGGGCCTGCAGCTGCAGCATTCAGTGCATCCCAGACCCTCCAGAGGCCCAGGGCAGGGTCAGATCAGACAGACCTGGCAGCACAGATGTGAAGTGTAAACGGCACACAGCCCCCTGGACTTGGGTTGATTCTTGTATCTTGCTGCTCACCAGCTATGTGACTTGAGCCAAGTTCTTTAACCTCTTCAGGACCTCAGTCTCTTAATCTGCAAACTGGAGGTATTAGTGCTTATCTCATGTACCTGTTATGAGAGTCATATGAAAAAAGACATTCAGAGTCTTCAAAGAGTCCTGAGCAATGGTAGGTGCTCAGTAAGTGTTTGTGCATTTCCTTGACACTTGTAGCTAAAAACTTACCTGGAATCAGACTTCCACTCAGGAGTCAGACCAGGCTCAAGAAGGCAACACAGTCTGGCCCCTTTTTGTTTCCATCTTTGGTTCTAGGCCAAGGCTGGACTTGCCTCATGGCCCTGGCATCTGAGAGAGAAACTGGATAGGTTCCTCATGCTCAGGATGGAGGAAACAGCAGTGGCTTGCATTGTTGATTGCAGGGGTGATGTCTAATCTCCTGAAGAAAGGAACTCTGGAGTCACAGAGATTGATTCATACAATCAACACACACTGGGCACCCATCCCGTACTACAGGCACAAGAGGCAAGACAGGTCTCTAGTTAGAGACGTTTTCCCACGGTGTGGTCAGAACTGTGACAGTAGGAAGCATGAGTACTGCAAGAGCATAAAGCCAGCCCCTTAGTCAGCCAGGTGGGGAGGTTTTGGAGAAGACTTCTGCAGGTGGTGACTGAACTTAAAGTTGAGCGTTGAAGAACAAGTAGGAGTTGTCTGGAAGACAATGAGGAGGAGACATCAGAAGGGGTGGCATGTCACGGTAACCTCAACCCAAAAGGTTTGTGTGCAGCGGGTAAGTGGGGTGGTGACAAGAGAAGCCAGGTGAAGGGGCCGGGCCAGGTCACAGAAGGTCTTACCTGCACAGCTGAGGAGCTCAGACCCAGGCTTCTTAACTCCACTGCCTCCTCCTGGGCAACACTGCCAGGCTGTTGGGAAAGGAGAAACACTCCTGCCTCCAGGGTGGGGAAGTTGGCAAACACCAAAGCAATATCCCCACCCAGAAGATCCTGGGCAGCAGAACACCCCAGCCTGCCTGGATGTGTCAGGTCTGCTGCCTTTCACCTCTAGGGTCCTGGGGAGCCCATCCCAGATTTTAGAAGCTGTACTTATTTCCACCAACCCTCACCCACCTCCCACCTACACTGCCAGAGGAACTTCTGGAAACTTATCATTTTATCTTCCATTTACCCAGTGAGCCAAGGAGGCTGGGAGGAAAGAGGTAAGAAAGGTTAGAGAACCTACCTCACATCTCTCTGGGCTCAGAAGGACTCTGAAGATAACAATAATTTCAGCCCATCCACTCTCCTTCCCTCCCAAACACACATGTGCATGTACACACACACATACACACACATACACCTTCCTCTCCTTCACTGAAGACTCACAGTCACTCACTCTGTGAGCAGGTCATAGAAAAGGACACTAAAGCCTTAAGGACAGGCCTGGCCATTACCTCTGCAGCTCCTTTGGCTTGTTGAGTCAAAAAACATGGGAGGGGCCAGGCACGGTGACTCACACCTGTAATCCCAGCATTTTGGGAGACCGAGGTGAGCAGATCACTTGAGGTCAGGAGTTCGAGACCAGCCTGGCCAACATGGAGAAACCCCCATCTCTACTAAAAATACAAAAATTAGCCAGGAGTGGTGGCAGGTGCCTGTAATCCCAGCTACTCAGGTGGCTGAGCCAGGAGAATCGCTTGAATCCAGGAGGCGGAGGATGCAGTCAGCTGAGTGCACCGCTGCACTCCAGCCTGGGTGACAGAATGAGACTCTGTCTCAAACAAACAAACACGGGAGGAGGGGTAGATACTGCTTCTCTGCAACCTCCTTAACTCTGCATCCTCTTCTTCCAGGGCTGCCCCTGATGGGGCCTGGCAATGACTGAGCAGGCCCAGCCCCAGAGGACAAGGAAGAGAAGGCATATTGAGGAGGGCAAGAAGTGACGCCCGGTGTAGAATGACTGCCCTGGGAGGGTGGTTCCTTGGGCCCTGGCAGGGTTGCTGACCCTTACCCTGCAAAACACAAAGAGCAGGACTCCAGACTCTTCTTGTGAATGGTCCCCTGCCCTGCAGCTCCACCATGAGGCTTCTCGTGGCCCCACTCTTGCTAGCTTGGGTGGCTGGTGCCACTGCCGCTGTGCCCGTGGTACCCTGGCATGTTCCCTGCCCCCCTCAGTGTGCCTGCCAGATCCGGCCCTGGTATACGCCCCGCTCGTCCTACCGCGAGGCTACCACTGTGGACTGCAATGACCTATTCCTGACGGCAGTCCCCCCGGCACTCCCCGCAGGCACACAGACCCTGCTCCTGCAGAGCAACAGCATTGTCCGTGTGGACCAGAGTGAGCTGGGCTACCTGGCCAATCTCACAGAGCTGGACCTGTCCCAGAACAGCTTTTCGGATGCCCGAGACTGTGATTTCCATGCCCTGCCCCAGCTGCTGAGCCTGCACCTAGAGGAGAACCAGCTGACCCGGCTGGAGGACCACAGCTTTGCAGGGCTGGCCAGCCTACAGGAACTCTATCTCAACCACAACCAGCTCTACCGCATCGCCCCCAGGGCCTTTTCTGGCCTCAGCAACTTGCTGCGGCTGCACCTCAACTCCAACCTCCTGAGGGCCATTGACAGCCGCTGGTTTGAAATGCTGCCCAACTTGGAGATACTCATGATTGGCGGCAACAAGGTAGATGCCATCCTGGACATGAACTTCCGGCCCCTGGCCAACCTGCGTAGCCTGGTGCTAGCAGGCATGAACCTGCGGGAGATCTCCGACTATGCCCTGGAGGGGCTGCAAAGCCTGGAGAGCCTCTCCTTCTATGACAACCAGCTGGCCCGGGTGCCCAGGCGGGCACTGGAACAGGTGCCCGGGCTCAAGTTCCTAGACCTCAACAAGAACCCGCTCCAGCGGGTAGGGCCGGGGGACTTTGCCAACATGCTGCACCTTAAGGAGCTGGGACTGAACAACATGGAGGAGCTGGTCTCCATCGACAAGTTTGCCCTGGTGAACCTCCCCGAGCTGACCAAGCTGGACATCACCAATAACCCACGGCTGTCCTTCATCCACCCCCGCGCCTTCCACCACCTGCCCCAGATGGAGACCCTCATGCTCAACAACAACGCTCTCAGTGCCTTGCACCAGCAGACGGTGGAGTCCCTGCCCAACCTGCAGGAGGTAGGTCTCCACGGCAACCCCATCCGCTGTGACTGTGTCATCCGCTGGGCCAATGCCACGGGCACCCGTGTCCGCTTCATCGAGCCGCAATCCACCCTGTGTGCGGAGCCTCCGGACCTCCAGCGCCTCCCGGTCCGTGAGGTGCCCTTCCGGGAGATGACGGACCACTGTTTGCCCCTCATCTCCCCACGAAGCTTCCCCCCAAGCCTCCAGGTAGCCAGTGGAGAGAGCATGGTGCTGCATTGCCGGGCACTGGCCGAACCCGAACCCGAGATCTACTGGGTCACTCCAGCTGGGCTTCGACTGACACCTGCCCATGCAGGCAGGAGGTACCGGGTGTACCCCGAGGGGACCCTGGAGCTGCGGAGGGTGACAGCAGAAGAGGCAGGGCTATACACCTGTGTGGCCCAGAACCTGGTGGGGGCTGACACTAAGACGGTTAGTGTGGTTGTGGGCCGTGCTCTCCTCCAGCCAGGCAGGGACGAAGGACAGGGGCTGGAGCTCCGGGTGCAGGAGACCCACCCCTATCACATCCTGCTATCTTGGGTCACCCCACCCAACACAGTGTCCACCAACCTCACCTGGTCCAGTGCCTCCTCCCTCCGGGGCCAGGGGGCCACAGCTCTGGCCCGCCTGCCTCGGGGAACCCACAGCTACAACATTACCCGCCTCCTTCAGGCCACGGAGTACTGGGCCTGCCTGCAAGTGGCCTTTGCTGATGCCCACACCCAGTTGGCTTGTGTATGGGCCAGGACCAAAGAGGCCACTTCTTGCCACAGAGCCTTAGGGGACCGTCCTGGGCTCATTGCCATCCTGGCTCTCGCTGTCCTTCTCCTGGCAGCTGGGCTAGCGGCCCACCTTGGCACAGGCCAACCCAGGAAGGGTGTGGGTGGGAGGCGGCCTCTCCCTCCAGCCTGGGCTTTCTGGGGCTGGAGTGCCCCTTCTGTCCGGGTTGTGTCTGCTCCCCTCGTCCTGCCCTGGAATCCAGGGAGGAAGCTGCCCAGATCCTCAGAAGGGGAGACACTGTTGCCACCATTGTCTCAAAATTCTTGAAGCTCAGCCTGTTCTCAGCAGTAGAGAAATCACTAGGACTACTTTTTACCAAAAGAGAAGCAGTCTGGGCCAGATGCCCTGCCAGGAAAGGGACATGGACCCACGTGCTTGAGGCCTGGCAGCTGGGCCAAGACAGATGGGGCTTTGTGGCCCTGGGGGTGCTTCTGCAGCCTCGAAAAAGTTGCCCTTACCTCCTAGGGTCACCTCTGCTGCCATTCTGAGGAACATCTCCAAGGAACAGGAGGGACTTTGGCTAGAGCCTCCTGCCTCCCCATCTTCTCTCTGCCCAGAGGCTCCTGGGCCTGGCTTGGCTGTCCCCTACCTGTGTCCCCGGGCTGCACCCCTTCCTCTTCTCTTTCTCTGTACAGTCTCAGTTGCTTGCTCTTGTGCCTCCTGGGCAAGGGCTGAAGGAGGCCACTCCATCTCACCTCGGGGGGCTGCCCTCAATGTGGGAGTGACCCCAGCCAGATCTGAAGGACATTTGGGAGAGGGATGCCCAGGAACGCCTCATCTCAGCAGCCTGGGCTCGGCATTCCGAAGCTGACTTTCTATAGGCAATTTTGTACCTTTGTGGAGAAATGTGTCACCTCCCCCAACCCGATTCACTCTTTTCTCCTGTTTTGTAAAAAATAAAAATAAATAATAACAATAATACGGGGGAAAGGAACGAAAGGAAAATAATCCTCTGAGTATTGAGTGTGGTTAAGGAGCTCTGCTCTGGACTCTCCTCAGAGCCTGGAGGGTGATGGGCATGGGGGCCAGCTGGGATATGAGAAGAGGGACAAGAAAAGGGATAGAGTGAAAGAGGGGACAGTTTTTCCTTTTCGGTTTGAATTCTGGCCCCTGGGCCTGCTTCTGGCCCCCAAGAGTCTCTGTGGCTGTGACAACGACCAGAGTGAGGAAGGGAGGGAGGCAGAGCGCAGGAGGCAAGGAGAGGGGTGGGAGAGAACCATGGAGACGAACCTGAGATGGGGAGAGCGGAAATTTCCATCACCAAATGCCGTCACCCCTTCTCCTTCTCTGATAAGCAATTAACATGCCAGAGCATAGGAAGCACTTCCCAGCCTATTTCTAATTAAACAAACCCAAGAGGCAGAGTCATGCAGAGAGTTGCAAATCATCAAGACAGCAAGAACTTTGGCTCACTAGGGCAGGAGCAGGGCATGGGGTGATAGAGGATTTAGGGAGGGGAGGGCTATGGGATAAGGAAATTACTGCATTCTATCTGTCCATTTCATTTTGGTATAATTTGCAATGAGCATGGTTTGCTTTTTTAGTTTTTTTGTTTTTAAACTGATTGAGTTCTTAGGACTACATGTGAAGAGGAACATCTGTTGGGAAGCCAACAGAGCCAAGGGCAGAGGGGCCACTGTGGACCCATCAAGGGGCTGTGCCAGAGCCAGAGGCCACTGAGCCACCACTCTCCGTTTCTGAGATAGGCTGGGAAGGGAATGGGTTTCCTGAGACTGACAGAAAGCAATGCACATTTGGAGGGTCCCCCTGTGTTACAGAGCACATTTGGCAGACTTGTTGGAAGCAGATCCTAAGCCACCATCAAGAGTGCAAATGTATACATGGGCGGAAGCCAGACCAGGGACAGAGCATCAGGCCCCATGGACCTGGAGCACTCACCTAAGCGAGGGTAGTGTCCCTCTCTCAGGAAGCTCAAAGACAGCAGGCTCTGCGAAGACCATCAGCAAACAGCCACGGTAGGAGCCTTCTTTTTGGCCGAGGTCCTCACTCAAGGCTACAGCAGTCACCTGTGGGGCTTGTTAAACACAGATGGCTGGTCCCGCCCCCAGCGTTTCCCATCTGCTAGAGCTGGATAACAACTGAGAACCTGGATGTCTAACCAGTTTTCAGGTGACACTGATGCTGCTAGACTGAGGACAACACTTTGAGAACCACTGGGCGTAGGCCTGCAGTAGCTGGGATTTTGCACTCCTTCTGCTCTAGGCCTCAGCTTTTTCATAGACAGTGTTGTGGCTTATGGCTCCAGAAGAGAGCTGGGAAGGGGCTGGAGGATGGTCCCTCCTCCCCACTCTTCTGACGGGTTGCTCAGCCCCCATTTCAATGACACGCTGTCCTGAGGGCAGCAGCTCCTTTCACAAGTGTTTTTCTGCATGGCCATGTTATATATTCTTTAGGGGAGGGGATGGCAGAGATGCTTTCTACATCTACACACATGCTCCCCTTTCCCTGCGGCACCCTGGCAGACACTCCTAGCACCCCACAGGGTTCTCTGCTATTGAGCTTTGGGATCATCACAGCCATGTTCTAGGCAGCCCTGCCAATGGACTGGAGCTGGCCTGTGCAATTTAGCCTATTCTCCATCCTCCAGGATCCAGAAGCTCTGTAGGGAGGAGGTGGGACAGAGTCTGTGCTGATCATAGAAAACTGGAGTCAGAAATCGACGCCTCTCCTTTCCTCCCAGAAGATCCACAGTGCTGCCTTTCTTCTCTGGCCCACGACACATGGACAATCAAGGTGTTCCCTTAAATAAGCTCCCGAGCCCTGTAAGAGCCTGTGGAGCCCTGTAACACCCTCCCATCATCACCTCCACTGCCACCCCAGAACTTACCGAAGAGCCCCTCGTCAGTCAATAGCTACCAAAACAGGGACCACTTGCAGATCCAGAAGTCCCAAGGCTTTAGATCCCTCAGGCTGAAAAGACACGTACATGTGCCTGCAGTTGGAAGGTAGAAAGAGGGAGTGTTCCCAGCCCCAGAGGACCATTTGCCTGCTCTGATCTCTTTGCTACCCCCATTTCCACCAGACTCCTCAGTTACAGAATGATTGCAAGCTGTGAACCCCTGGGGAAAGGCAGAAATCATCCAACCCAGAGGATGTAGCTCTGCCTCCCAGATGCCATGTGCCTGTACTTGACGCACTGTGGCATCTCAGCTGCCATGGGGCTCAGAGCTGCTCAAGTCCTTGAATGTGAATGCTTTCTTCTCAGAAGAAAATGTCAGTTATGGGGACTTAATCTGTGTCTCACCTGAATCCCCAGGTCCTGGACTGTTAGGCTACAGCAGAGAAGTTAGGTGAGGTGGGGAAAGGAAAGTAGCTCATGGCATCTCTTCTGTAAAGAGAGATGACACCGCAGGGGCACTCCCCAGTTGGAGAGAGTGAGGACAAGGCACTCGGTGGGTTGCTGTGTCCTGGAATAGCCAGAAATGGAGCAGCTGAACATGAGCAGCCCCTCCCCTGGTACAGAGCTGGACATGTGGCTCTGGTGTGTTTCGAGCAGGAGGAAGGACAGTGGGACTATCCCCTGCCCTCCTCTGGCTCTATGTGTCCATTAACACAGCCTAACAGGTAACATCTGAAGTCTTAGCTTCAACACTAGACCAGGCATGTGGGCAACTAAATGTACTGGGTTTAAAACAAAACAGCTATTAAGCCTGGTGTCTTCTGTACATTTCAGATTGCTTTTTTTTCTTTTAATCCTAAATAGGAAATAATACTTACAGCCAGGAGTGGTGGCTCATGCCTGTAATCCCAGCACTTTGGGAGGCCGAGGGGGGGTGGATCACCTGAGGTCAGGAGTTCGAGACCAGCCTGGCAATATGGTGAAACCCCATCTCTAGTAAAAATACAAAAAAATTAGCCGGGCGTGGTGGCAGGCACCTGTAATCCCAGCTACTCGGGAGGCTGAGCCAGGAGAATCGCTGGAACCTGGGAGGCGGAGGTTACAGTGAGCCGAGACTGTGCCACTGCACTCCAGCCTGGGCAACACAGCAAGACTGCTTCTCAAAAAAGAAAGAAGAAAGAAAGAAAATGATACTTACTTCTGTTTAAGCTGATGGCTTATCATTTTTTTCTATTGAAATGATTTCAAAACCTAACCCAATTTGTTGAGTGTATTAGTTTTCCCTCCCTAGTGCACTAGCAAATTCAATCCTGCCTTCTGTGTCCGCATGCATGGCTCAGATAGGTCACAGAGCAGAACTGGGCCCAGAGACAGTTCTGTGGCTCACCACTGCAGCCTTCCCGCCAGCCTGCCATGGGTCCATTCATCAACATGTCTGGTGTGGCCGCTCAGCTAGCTACAAACCACCCAAATACACTATCTTGCAGCCTGTATTTCTGCATCTCATCTGTAGGGTTATCAAGACAGACTTTGTGAGAGGCTGAGCTGAGATGAGGATGTAATGAGTGTGTAGCATTCCTGGGAACCATCAGTCTAATCACCGTATCACAGAAGTAGAGAAGAACGGCTGGTCTAGTGTAGGGGACCAGTTGGGATTCTCCTGATCTTAGCATTGAAAGTCCCATGTTTCAGGAACTCTCTCTGTCCTGGGGAAACTGGGATGGTTGGTCACCTTGTCTAGTGAACTCTAAGTCTACCCAAGCCATCTTCCTCCCTCCCTTGCAATCAACAAATATTTAGTAAAGAGGACCATGCGACAGGTGCTGTTCTATGAACTAAGGATACAAACAAAAGTCCCAGAGGCTGGAGACCTTGCATTTTAGTAAGGGGAGAAAGCTAATGAACAGGAGAAGTAAGTAAAAATATGTAATATGTTGAATGGGGATGAGTATTAAGGAGAAAAAAATGTCAAGAAAGATAAGTGGGGCCTTGATAGGGTGGCCATAAAAGGCCTCACTGAGAAGGTAACATTTCAGCAAAGACATGGGGGAGTGAACTAAGCAGTTGTCTGGAGGAAGAGTGATCCAGGCAGAGAGAATGGCAAGGGTGAAGGCCAAGAGCAAGGAGGCTAGCGTGCCCCGAGCAAGAGGGGGTGGAGGAAAAATACCCATGAGACCTGCTGTCAGAGAAGCAGCAGGTGGTGGTGTTGGGCCCTGTAGACCACTGGAAGGACTGGCTTTTCCTTTCAGTAAGAAGGGGAGCCCCTGGAGAGTTCTGAGCAGACATGGCATGATTTGACTTAAAGGGAACCCTCTGGTCGCTAGACTGAGAACAGAGCATGGGAGTCTGGGGTGGGCAAGTGCAGAAGTGAAGAGGCCAGATAAGAGGCTACCAGGATTGTCACCTCGGTTAAATAATTTCCTCTAGAATTTTGCCAGGATGGACACTAAATGCACCTTTGTACTTTCTAAATCTATCCTTTATCCTGTTTTTGAAAATTGAAGCCACATTTGCTCTTTTGCAGTCTTCTGACTCCTCTCCGTTTCCCCATGATTCTTCAAAGTACTTATGCAAAGTAGTTCATGTAGATCAAGCCTCCGCCATCACATTTGTAAGCTCCATCAGTGCCCTGCAGTGAGAATGACACTCACTTAAGGTGGTGAGGAATGATCTTGATTGGCCTTCAACTCCATCTTAATTGTGTTTGTTGTTGAAGCACATCATTCCAAGGGAGATAACAGTGACACAGGCAAGTCACTATCCTGCTCTTCCATCAGCATCAACAACACTTTGACAGGTCCAGGCATGACGTCTGCCTTCCTTCTTGATGATTTTACCCAAAGAACTCTTGTGTGTTCTTCACAGGTTTCACAAGTGTCAGAGCAACCTGTCCTTTAACCCATCCAGTATATTCTTACCCATTTGCACTATTCTTTTGCAGTTACCCTTTGTTTAAGAACATCTCCTATATTTTGTAGAATGGCAATAATGCTAATATTGATGAAGCACTTACTACATGCAAGGCACTGTAGTAGGAATTTCACAGGTGCCATTTCATTTCATTCACAGTTACCTTATCAAGTGGGTACAATCATCCCCATTTTACAGATTTAGATATTAGAGCTCAGAAAAGTTAAATGATTCATCCATCCAAGGTTGCACAGCTAGTAGGAGGCAGACCCAGAATTCAAATGCTGTCTGATTCCAAAGGCCCTGTTTTCACCCCTCTACCCTATCGTATTCAAATTTATATGCTTTCGGCACGGTGCAGTGGCTCACGCCTATAATCCCAGCACTTTTGGAGGCTGAGGCAGGCAGATCACCTGAGGTCAGGAGTTCGAGACCAGCCTGGCCAACAAGACAAAACCTCATCTCTACTAAAATACAAAAATTAGCTGGGCTTGGTGGCAGGTGCCTGTAATCCCAGCTACATGGGAGACTGAGGTAGGAGAATCACTTGAACTTGTGGAGGTGGAGGTTGCAGTGAGCTGAGATTGAGCCACTGCACTCCAGCCTGGGTGATAGAGCAAGACTCTGTCTCAAAATTTAAAAATATATATATATATATATATACTTTCAAAGTATGTCAAAAGTTTTTGGAGAGCAGAAGGACTTCTAAGATCTGTGTGCACTGGAGAGCTCCCTGTGCAGCCACTTTTATTTTTAGAGGCTGCCCTCTTTTTTTTTTTTAACTCAGGATAATTTGTGACTTTATTGTCAGGACTTCAGTTTTAAAACCTCTTGAACTATATTCTCTTGAGAACCACAGCTGATGATTCCTTTCTCTGAAGTTTTGAAGCATGCTTTGTAGAAGTCTGACTTTGTATTCTCACCTTTTCATTCCCTGGATCCTATCAACTCTAAAATTCTGTAGTGGCTTCCTCTGGAGGCTCTGATCACTCCCCTCAACAATCAGTTCTCTTTTGTTGGTCAGAATTAAGTCCAGAACAGCTTTTGTCCATGGGCTTTCTTTGCTTTTGAGCTTAGATGTCAGCTGGGCAAGTCAGGAACTCATCAGAGGCTTAACGCTGAGCTCAGCCCTGCACCAAGCAAGTGCCTAGATGGCAGGAGTCGCCCCTCACTGCTTCCTAATCTGCATGCCTATTTTACAGCATCGATGAGAAAACATGGTCTCCATGGTCTCCTTCTAGCCAAGTGGGCCATGTCATTCTCATACACAATGTCCTCCCAAGCCATTCTCCTTTATCCTCATCCAAATGCTGCTTCTGCCTCTTATTGACCTTCCGTGGCCCTGTTACAGACATGAATCAGTACCCCCACCCTCCACCTCCACCACATACTCCAAACCTTTGTGTTTCCCTCAGTTCCTTTATCTACAGCCCCCAGCCAAAGAACCCTCCGCCTGGTTGTAGAAATTTCCAGTCACCATAGTTTCCTACTCCCACCTTCAGTGCCACTGCACACTTAAAGAGACCTGGTTTGTGTTGCTTCTGGATGTCTCAGAGCTCTGAAAGAGCCATTGTTTGAAAATGGCAACTTCCTTCATGACAGAACACTAGTAGGTTGGGAGAACGCTAAGGAGCTATTCCTCAACTTTTAGTTGCCACCCTTATGAATCAAAAGGGCCAGGCTGCCAGCCTGCAAGGAAGGAAGAAAGACCCAGACTCAACCTATGTGAAAAGGATCATGTGTGGTCTATTTTGGAGGATGGCTAAGTTCATTGATAGTGACCTTCTCACTTGCTCTTAGTAATAGCTCAGTAAGTTAGGCCCAACAGATATTATCATCCTCATTTTTATAGGTAAAGAGACTGAGGCTTGAAATATTTAAATAACTTACGAAGGTCACACGACTAATAAGGTTAGAGCTGGAGTTAGAACCCAGGTCCTCTCACTCCGAATTCCCATGCCCTGTTCAGTTACCGCACTACCTTCTACATAAAGAACAAGCATGTGGATGGTGTGTACTCCTCTCAGGGGTGTGTAACACTCAACAGAAACAATCAGGGGCTAACTACAGAGGATAAAGAAGAGATGGCATCGCTTACGCCACTGGGGATTATAGGAGCTGCGTGTGTGGCAGGCAGGAGCAAGAGCCCACAGGGTGGTCCCAGGATGCATGGGGGTGGCACTGAGCTAGGCAGAGGAGCCACAGCTGAGTGTGTGCTTCACCATTCCAAAGCTCTAAGACCATTGATCGGTAAAATCCAAGCTCTCTCAGCTGAAGCCAGCCTCAAGGAGACATCTGGTTTAGGCCCCTACCTTCTAATGGCTCAAATACCATTACCTCTATTCATTTTACAGTGAGTGATGGAGGAGGAACTAGAACCCAGGTCTCCTGACTCAGGGAAGGGCTGAATTAAGGATCACTGGAAGACAGGTGGCCATTTTTCTCAGGGCCCTCCACTAGAGTCAGTGGGTCAAAGATGGACTTCCATGAATTGCTGACAAATTTTTCTGTGTACATGTAGATGTAACATTTCTGGAGAGAGGGCACTTTAGATTTAATAAGATACTGAAATAGGTCCAAAACCCAGAAAGGTCAAGAACTACTGCATTAAAGGGTGCGGGAATCATACAGCTGCAGGATTCGAGACTACAGCTGGGAGTTGCCAAGGGAAACAGAGCCACCCACAACAATTTGAGGGTCTGCCAGCGAGGTTTAGATCGAAGAACATTCACCATCTCTACACCTAAATGGAACCCAGATTTATGTATATAGACATTTCCTTTAACATAGGGAAAATGAAGTGAATTCCCAGTGTTTTCATTTGCAAAGCAAAGCCTCCTATGTCGGCTCTTAACCTTCAAGCTTTCAGCCCATCAAAACCTCCAAGCTTTCTGGAATTTCACTGCAATCCCCCGTATCATCCATGGGTCTCTGGCTCCTGAGAGCCACATTAGAGCTCACTCAACCAGTCAACAACACCTGTCCCACCACCACGTGCCCAGCGAAGGCAGTGGATTCAGCCAAGTGCCATGAGAAACCTAATCTAAAGCTCTTCTCTTCTTTAATCTTGGGTAGATTAGAATCACCCATCCTGTTCCATTGCTCTTTTATGCCTCTGCCCCAATTCCTCAACCTCTCTGACCCTACCATGCACACATGCAAATACAGGGGCTGTGTTCACACATGCATGTACATGTGCTTGCACAAACACACACAACTTTGTAAATGTCAGGTGCAGCTCTACTCCAGTCCTCCATTCTACACACACCATCTGCCAGAAGCTATTTTCAGCACCTAATAAAACTGTTTTAGAGTGAATCCTGGGGTGTTCTGCCCTTTGCTTCCCCAGGGCAAGAGCAACTGAGCTCCAGATGGAGCTAAATTTTGCTACCAAGTGAAGAGGAGGAGAAAGAGTCAACCAAGGGCTATCAAGAGACCCTAGTGACCTCCCCACAAGCAGTATGGTGTGTCTCAGCTTTGTACTTACTGTCCCTTACTATAACATCCTTGGGCTAGTAACCAAACCTCCCCACCTCACCCATAGGTGGCTACTACCTTACTCAGTGGTTCTCAAACCTGAGCACACATCAGAATCACCTGGAGGGGTGGCAAAATCACAGGTTGCTGGGCCTCATCTCAGAGTCTCCAATTCCCTAAGTCTGGAGTGGGGCTTGGAAATTTGCATTTCTAACACAAGTTCCCAAGTGATTGCTGGTCCAGGGACTACACCAAGAGCTAGTGACGTAACTCATGAGCTTGTTGTGAAGATTAAATGAGAAAACATGCAAAGCACCTGGCACATAGTAAGGTAGTGGGTCTCAACCTTGGCTGTGCATTAGAATCACCTGGGGAGCTTTAAAAAAACCAGATGCTCAGCACTGCAGACCAATTAAATCCAGGTCTCTAGGGGTGAGATACGTACATTACCACCTTTTAAAAAGCTCCCAGGTGACTTACATATGCAGCCAAGGTTGAGAGTCACTGAATTAAGTGCTCAATAAATTTACAACGCCCTTTATAAGCTACCCAGCCACCCCCATCCTAACAGCCTCCCTCTCCTCCTCCTTCCCCAGGGTCCCATCTCTCACTCTGGCTCCCATGGGAAGACCTGAGTGAAGCCTAACCTTGGCTTTGGCTTCTAGAGTGGATGCTGAGGACCACGTGGAAGATGAACTCCAGTTCATTCACTCAGTGGCTCATCCACTCAGGCGCTCCTTCACTCAGTCATCATCAACCCAGCTGCCTTTACGGCACCCACGAGGTGCTCGGGGGATGCAGGGATGAGTCAAATCCAGTGCTGTCCTCAGGAGTTGGTAACAAAGAACAAAAGATGTAGAATAATAGACTCTCAGATTCCGAAGGGTCCTCCAGCCCCACCTCCCACCCACCACAGAAGTTGTCTTTACAACCTCCCCATCATCTCTTCCCAGCATCAATACTTTAAGTGACAGAAAGCACATCACTTCACAAGGCAGCCCGTCCAGCTTAACAATGCTACTTGTTAGAAAGTTCTTCCTTAGACAACTGAAACCCACTGCCCTGTAACCCCCACTCGTTAGCTCTAAACTCTGGAAGCTCCTCATCCCAGGCTTGGCCTCCCACACGACTAGACTGCAGCTATCCAAATTCCTTCCATGGTAAGGAGAAAATACAGCCGAAAAATCAAGGGTGCGTTAATCCCGTCAAAGTACAGAGGTCCTCTCTATGAAAATTGACTGCCACGCATGGTGGCTCACGCCTGTAATCCCAGCACTTTGGGACACCAAGGTGGGTGGATCACCTGAGGTCAGAAGTTCAAGACTAGCCTGGTCAACATGGTGAAACCCTGTCTCTGCTAAAAATACAAAAATTAGCCAGGCATGGTGGTGAGCCCCTGTAATCCCAGCTACTTGGGAGGCTGAGGCAGGAGAATCACTTGAACCCAGGAGGCAGAGTTTGCAGTGAGCCAAGATCGAGCCATTGCACTCCAGCCTGGGCAACAAGAGTGAAACTCTGTCTCAAAAAAAAAAACAAAGAAAGAAAGAAAAGAAAAAAGAAAATTTACTTTCTGGCTCTCATAGCTTGTGCTGGGAAGCTAAAGTCAAGATAACACAAAAATATTCACTAATGAACCAACCACAATTTACCCTTAACCCCTCACTAATAGATTCTTTTGGTTTAATTCCAGCCTTAGCCTGACCCAACCTATTGTGTCAAAGGTCTTTGTTGGTCTCTGCTAGTTGTGGGTGGCTACCACCACACAAACAAATACACAAGCCAATTGCAAAGTGAAATTGCATATCCTGCCTCCCAAAATGCAGATTTTAATGAGGTTGATGAAATCAATGTTAGAGAAATTTTTACATCATCCACAAAGCCATTGAAAAGATAAGGAGCTAGGGGAGACCAACTAAACTGAAGAAAAGAAAACCAACAAGGATCATGACAACACAATTACCTCCAAGTCAACGATCTGGGTATCAAAAATTGAGAGGCCTTTGGAAAATGAATGAAGCATCGCAATATTTTTGCAAAACAAGGACCCTCTTTAAGATCCTGCTGCATTGGCTGGGTGAGGTGGCTCACATCTGTAATCCCAGCACTTTGGGAGGCCAAGGCAGGCAGATCACAAGGTCAGGAGTTCAAGACCAGCCTGGCCAATATGGTGAAACCCTGTCTCTACTAAAAACACAAAAATTAGCCAGATGTGGTGGTGGGCACCTGTAGTCTCAGCTACTCGGGAGGCTGAGGCAGGAGAATCACTTGAACCTGGGAGGCGGAGGTTGCAGTGAGCTGAGATTGCAACACTGCACTCCAGTCTGGGCGAGAGAGCCAGACTCTGTCTCAAAAAAAAAAAAAAAAGATCCTGCTGCAAAAAATCGAGGAAGCAATGAAGAGTGTTTCCCTCCAGGAGTCTAACACTTGGTTAAGGAGTCCAGTATTACCAGTGAAAGAATTTCTGTACTATGTCAAGTACAAGTCAGCGATGATCAAGAGTTAGATTAAGGGGAATGCAGATTAACAGTTCAGAAGGGGAGGTCCAAGAAGACTAGAATGGTTGGCGAAGGCTTTGCCAAGGAGGAGGGAGTGGGCTTGTTTTTGGAGGAGGATGTAGATCCACCATCACCACCACCACCTTCCTGTTGGCCTCCTATATGGATACCCGCCACACTCCAGTCAAGAGAGGCCCAAAAATCTACATCTAACATGCCAGGCATATTGAGGAATTAAATTGTGATGTATATGGTCAAGATCTCAGGAACATAGACATGCAATGGACCAGGCCATGTGGCAGAGGAAGCCAAGGGCTAGAGGCACCCCTGGAGGTAGTGGAGGAGGGCACATCTGAGAAACCACTCGAGCCCCCGGATGCCCTATGTCCAGCCCATCTGGGTGTGTGGCCAGCAGGCCGGTGCTGAGGGTCCCCCATAGGTCTGGCTGCTTCGGCCAGCAGGAGGATGGAGAAGTGCAAAGTCACATTTCACTCAGTGAAAGGGAAATCGGCAGCAATTAGCAGCCTTTCCTTCCATGCTGACGTTCCCTGTATGGGCAGGGAGGCTTCCCAGCTTTCATCCCGTACATCCTCTGCCTCCAGTGGGACCCCAGAGAGGCAAAACAGGTGGCAGGAATAGGAAGGCAGACCTTCCTGGGTACGGGACCCAAAGCAACACTGTGTTTCCACCTCTCAGCCTCCCCACTATTTTTATAGAGAAGAAACAGGCTAAGGTGAATGCCAAGGGGAAAGTAAGTTATAAATACATGCAGAGAGGAGAGAAGAAGTGGGGTATGTGTGTGGAGGAGGTGCAGTTAGGGAAAATGGCAGCTGTGATTCTTGGCTGTTTTGGTTTCAGTTAAGCACCCAGGGCCTTCTCCTCCAGCTGCCTCTCTGGGTCCCCACCCATCCCCAGGCAGGGGAAAGAGTGCCTGGGAATCCAGTGCTACTCAAATGGGGGGAGTCTGAGTCAGGGTTGACCTCTCACTTCCTATACCCCTTACCTTCACTTTGCTTTTTTTTGGTTTTTTATCCAAAGCCTTACCTTCCCCACCCTTACCTTCACTTTGCTTTTTTTTGGTTTTTTATTTTTATTTTTTTAAAAGAAAGGGCAGGTTCTATGTTTCGGTTTTGTGTATGTGTATGGTTTGTGTGTGTGTGTTTTAGTTTTGTCATTGTTGTTGTTTTTTGTTGTTGTTGCTGTTTGAGACGGAGTCTCACTCTCTTGCCCAGGCTCACTGCAACCTCTGCCTCCCGGGTTCAAGTGATTCTCCTGCCTCAACCTCCCAAGTAGCTGGGACAATAGGCACACAACCACCATGCCTGGCTAATTTTTATATTTTTAGTAGAGATGGGGTTTCGCTATGTTGGCCAGGCTAGCCTCGAAATCCTGACCCCAAGTAATCTGCCCACCTCAGGCTCCCAAAGTGCTAGGATTATAGGCATGAGCCACCACGCCCAGCTTGTTTTTGTTTTTTGAGACAGGGTCTCACACTGTCGCCCGGGCTGGGGTGCAGTGGCACCACCATAGCTTACTACAGCCTCAACCTTCTGAGCTCAAGCAATCCTCCCACTCTAGCCTCCTGAGTAGCTGGGACTACAGGCAAGCACCACCGTGCTTGGCTAATTTTTGTATTTTTTGTAGAGATAGATTTTCACCATGTCGCCTGGGCTGCTCTCAAACTCCTAGGCTCAAGTGATCGCTTGGCCTCCCAAAGTGCTGGGACTGCAGACATGAGCCACCGTGCCCAGCCCTGCTTTGCTTTTTTAAAAAATGTAAATCATCTACTTTCTTTTCTTCTTATTTTTAATGGTGGTAAAAAGCACATAACAAAATTTATCATCTTAACCATTTATAAGTGTTCAATAGTACTAAGTATGTTCACATTGTTGTAAACCAATAGCCTGAACTCTTCATTTCGCAAAACTGAACTCTGTATCCATTAAGCAACCACTCCCCATCCCCGCAAGCCCCAGCCTCTGACAACTGCCATTCTACTTTCTATCTCTATGAATCTGACTGCTTTAGATACTTCATGTAAGTGGAATCATACAGTATTTGTCTTTTATTTCACTTAGCACAATGTCCTCAAGGTTCACCTATGTTGTAGAACATGTCAGACTTTCCTTCCTTTTTAAGGCTGAGTAATATTCCCTGGCATGTATGTACCGCATTTTGTTTATCCATTCATCTGCCAATGGGCATTTGGGTTGCTTCCACCTCTTGGTTACTGTGAATAAGGTTCCTATCAACATGGATGTATGCAAATATCTCTCTTCAAGACTCTGTTTTCCATTTGTTTGGATATATACCCAGAAGCGGGATTACTGGATCATATGGTAATTCTATTTTTTATTGTTTGCCATAGTGGCTGCATCATCTTACATTTCCACCAGCAGTGCACAAGGGTTCCATTTCTCCACCTGCTTTGCGTTTGAGTCTTTGAGAACTAGGAGCTGCCCCAGCACCTCTGGACTTGAAATGAGAACCCAAGACCTCAGTCGGGTTTGGCCTGCAATCTCAGCCCTTCTCTGCCTTCTCTTCAGAACCCCCTATTTTCATTTCTGGAGAAATCTCATGGCCATTATCCAGCCCCTGAGGAGTCATGACCTCCAGCAGGCCTGAGAGGAACAAAGAAAACCAGGGCTTCCAAGGCAAGGAGTAAAACAAATACCCAAGAGCAGTGGTCTCAGGTAGAAGCTCCCACAGCAATGAGACAGATTTGGGATGAGGAAGCAGTGGGTTACCACCTCCTCCTGAGTTGGCTGCGTGGTCCACAGCAAGGGCAAGGAGATGAAAGGAGAGTCTGGACTTGGGAGAACAGGTGTGGAAGTGCAGGAACAGGCGTGGAGGTGCAATGCCACTACCACCTCTCCCCCATCCACCATGATATCCTCCAACCCAGCCTCTCTGCTTTGTGGTGGAGAGTCAGCAGCCAATAGTCTCATTCTAAAATCCAAATCTGGTGCTACCATGTCCTGGCTTTAAACGTTTCTGAGGCTCCTTACTGTCCTCAGACTAAAGTCCAGATGCCTTGCACAATTACAGCCCTGCATGACCTGGCCTCGGTATCTCATGCTGGCTCTCCCGTCACTCTGAGATCCAGCCACATCAAATGTGTTTCAGTTGCTAGAACAAACCACACTTGCTGTCTCCTTTGGGCCTTCATACACAATGTTCTCTCAGCTTGGAACATTCTCCTCCACACGACCCTTTTTCCTTACCTTTTCATCTGGTTAGTTCTACTCATCCTTTAGGTTTCAGCCTAGATGGCACTTCCTCCAGGAAGCCTTCCATGATGTCCTCCAGTTCTGAGTCAGGACCTCTTCTCAGTACAGCCACAGGACTTATTATACTAGGGGTGTAGTCTCCTGACTTGGCTGTGTCCTTAGAATACTCGGTTCCATGAAGAGAGCAGAGTCTTGTCCACTTCTTTCCCTAGCACCCAGAACATGGCCTGGTTCAGTGTAGGTGTTTATTAAAAGCTTTTTGAAGAGTGAATGAATGAGTGAATGTGTGAAGGACTGAACCATGAGGATGATGAGACCTGGGAGTGGTGGGTGGGCATCAGACTCCTACCCCCCCGCCCCGCACCCACACAACCACAGAGGGCTCTAACCTGCCACCATATCAAGTTAAAAATCAGCCAGAGCTTTTGATTTCTTTCTTTGCTTTTAGTGCCTCCCCAGAATTATGGATAATAAGGGTAGGGGAAAAAAGGGGCAGGGACCACACAAATGAAACACAAACCCTTGAGTTTCTTTGGAAAACTGCTCTAAAGCTCTGGGTGATGGGCATATTTAAATTTATCTGGCTTTACCCTGCCACAAGGCACTTAGTAATGAAGAATTCATGGTTTCTTCAAGCCCCTCCCTGACGTTCCAGCTTCCGACCAAAGATCATGTTCTGCCCCCTCCAGACCTCACCACCTCCCACCACCCCACCCACACCTCCTCTTCCTCTTGCTAGGAGATGGCTATGATCTATGGATGCCTCCCTGGGAGCCGGCCCGGCCCCCAGGCCCAAGGAGCCAGGTGTGACAGTGATGTATGAGTCTGGGCTGGACTCTAATTGGCCATTCCCTGTGGAGCATGGAGACTTAGCAAGACAAAAATCTACCCTATTGCATCCTGAATCTTTTCCTGTGGCTGATAAACAGCAAGTCCCTGAACTGGGAACATTCAGACGGGAAGAGCAATGATTCAGGGGAGAGGAGGGGAGGAAAGCCTGCCTCTAGAAGTGCTCGTGCTCACCCCAGGGCACCAGAGCTTCATATTCTAGGGACACAAAGGATTAGAAAATTTTATGTAAGTACTATTGTCATGTCATTTTAACTAAAAACAGCATGCGGAAGCCCAAAGAATTTCCACATCTATTAGCCCTTTCACTCCCATGCCGTCCAGGAGAGGATGGGAGGGGTGGGCAGGGGTCTCTGTACAACTAGAGCTACTATTATGGATTATTATTATTATTGCCCCCATTATTACATTGTTTATGACACATTATCCTCAATCCTCCCAAAAATCCCAGGAGGTAGGGAGTCGTTTGTGTCATCTAAAGCAGTATACAAAATTATGTTTTACAAGAAGACTAAGTATAATTCTGAATTCATGATTCACGAATAATTCATGATCTTGTTTTATTTTGCTTTGTGTTTGTTTGTTTGTTTTTTAATGGACTTTACTTTTTAGAGCAGTTTTAGGCTCAGGGCAAAATGGAACAGATGGTACAGAGAGTTCCCACACAGCCCTGCCCTCATGCTCACAGCCTCCCCCGTGCCCCACCACAGTGATCCATTTGTTACAATCAATGACCTACATGGGCACATTGTTGTCACTCGAAGTCTCCAGTTCACATTAGGGCAGCTCTTGATGTTATACATTCTGTGGGTTTGGATAAATGTATAATGACATGTATCGACCATTAATTACAGTATCCTACAGAGTACTTTCACTGCCCGAAACATCCTCTGTGCCGTGGTCAAGAGTTTTAACCTCACATTTAGACAAAGAAACAGAGGTCCAGAAAGTTTATGTGATTTACCCAGTGCCAGGTCCAGGATTCAAACCAGAGTCTATCGTATTCCCGAGCCCAAGCCCTCTCTCCCCTCTAGCACCAACCTCTCCCATGGCAGGTGGGTGAAATGTGGACCTTTGCTACCCAGCTAGCCAGGGGCAATGTTGGAATGGAAGTCCAAGATGCTTGCCCTAGTCCCAGATGTCTGCTGGGTCCCTCCCTGCCCTGGTGGCCAACCTCAGGCATTACCCATGACCCGGGGATAGACTGGGATCGCTGGATCAGAGATCCCAGAACATAAAGGAGACCTTTCAGTTTAGAAAGAAAATGTTGCTGCCCAGTGTCCTCTTAGGCTGGAGCCAGCTGGGAAATTCAAGTCCATCCTTCTCTGGACTTCCAGGCCCTGCAGTCCCACCGTGGCAGAGCATAGCAAGTCCTTTCTGTGCCATTGAGGAGAAGGGAGCGAGATGGTTACAAATTTCATAGTAATCATGTAAGTCAGGGTTCTCTGATGCCAAAGGGCCTAGACTAGAGGTGGCCAGGTGGCCTGGCCAGGGCTGGAGTCTGGCCAGATTTATCTAGCATCGAAGGTACTCCCAGCCCACTCCCCTCAAAAAAAATGCAGGTATGCACATATACATGCTCTTAATTACTCCTGACCTGGCGCCAGCCTCATCGTCGTGTCCTTTTCTAAAGGACCCTGTCTCCCACAATAGCCATTAAAACTGACAACTCTGAATGCAAGCCGTGGTAACAAAAGGTAAGCTCCCAGCCCACCACCCGCTGGCAAACTGGCATGTCAGTGCTAACATGCTCATCACCACCACTGTAGTCATCCTCGTCCCTACAGCCCCCACATTTGGAAAGCCATTCACAGAGGCTTTTCCCATCCACACCACAATCCCGTGAGGTGAGCAGAGCAGTATTTGTCTCTGCAGTTGGCAGATGGGAAATATGAGGCTCAGAGAGGTTAGGTGATCTACCCACGGTCACACAGCTGAGACTGGAATCTCAGCCTCTTTCTACTACCACACATAAAATTGCTTTGCAGCAAGCATTTCTCCAGTTACAGGCAAAACACCAGGCTGCAGAGCTATGATGCTTCGGGAGCACAAATGCCTGTGATGAGAAAGAACACAGAACTTCCCTTCCCTCCTCCAGGCGGGGAGGCCCAGCTGGAGTCTCTGAAGGTCTCTGAGGACTGTAGCTCTTCAGACTCCCTCTCGCAATGGCCACTCTGGGTCCCTCAGAAAAGAGGGACGTGACAGAGCAAGGTGGCGGCTGAGGAAGAGCAGAGCCCCACCCATCCTTCCTCTGCGCCCACCGTCCCGTCGTCCCCCGAATACACTTTGACTCCCCTTCCCTTCCCTATTTTGGGACTTAGGAAAGTCAGATAAAGTATCCAGGACCTCTCACCCTCATTCTTCCTGTCTGTCAGGAGCCATGTTAAGTCTTAATTAGAGGAAATCCAAGGCCATTTCCATGGGAGGAGAGCAGTAACCCCCAGCGCACACGCACAGGCTTGGGGGGACAAGCCCGGGCAGCGCAGAGGCCTGGGGCTCAGGTGAGTCCTCACAGGCGTGCTGCAGGCTGCCAGAGCTGGCCTTTTGGACCTGCTGGGCATCCAGGTAGGTGCAGCCTCCTTATCTATCTCTTTGCACTGGGGCTCAGAATAATGGGGGAGGATCCGGGAGCCATCTCGTGCGCAGAGTTAGTTCGGTCTGCAAGACGGTTTTCCCAGTGAAATGAAATTCAGTCACACCCAAAGTGAGAACAGAAAGGCCCAGATAGGTGAGGCTAAGACAGGTGCTCCACAGCTGTTCTAGGAACTGACCCTGCTCCATCACACACACACACACACACAGACATGCCAGTACATGCACACACACACGTGTACATGCCCCCCAGACTGCAGCTCCCCTCTAGAAGAAACGATTGTCAAGCATCACCCCACAAACCAGGAGCAGCCCCCAGTTCGTGCACTACCTCCCTCACCTCCCTCACTGCCCCAGCACTTAGACTCAGAGACCATAATCACACATGACTCCGGCCAGACCCAGGGGAGCCTGCTGTTCTTGCCCTCTCATATTATTTCCTGCTCTGAGCTAAGCTCCACAGTCATTCAGCCAAGCAGTGGAATAACTCCTCTTGCCAAAAATGCTAACGCGAGGTGAAATGGTATTAATAACAGTGCAGTGTCTACACAGGAGGTAATGGTACTGAAACGTTCTGCACTGGTCCACCTTCGCCTTCCATAGCCTGAGAGCCAAATACTAAGGACATTGGTAAACTTGAGTTCCTTCAGCAAGGGTTCTTAGCATACAGGTCTACTAGATAGGATTCTTCCATCCTTGATGGAAGAGAGCCATCCTTAGACAGTGTAGGAATGTCACATGGAATTGGGGAGGGGAATCCTTCTCAGAGGTTTGAAAGGAGACATTTAGAACAGTGTATGTGAGTTACAGGGAGGTTTCAACTCAATGGAAGAAAATTTTCTAACAGCCAAAGCTGGCTAACGATAACACAGGGTGTCTTGTGAGGTGGTGAGAGCTCTGTCACAGTATTTATTAAGACAGTACAGCACAGTGCTTAAGAGCTTAAGCTATAGAGTCAGATATACCTGGCTTCAATTCCTGGCTCTGTCATTTACTAATTGTGTGACTTTGAGGAAGTTACCGGAAATTCAGTTTCTTCGTTGGCACATAAATGTAGTAATACCTCCTCAGGTTTTGAGGCTTATATGAGATTAAAGCATATAAACTGGAGTGCCTCACACTAACTATTATTACAAATAAAAAGCAGAAGTTAGGTGGCTACCAGTCGGGGATATCAACAAAGAGACTCCCACAGTGGTTGAGGAGGAACTAGATAATCTCTGTGGTCCCATCTGACTCAAAGGACATATACATTCATTCTTTCTTTTTTTTTCTTTTCCTCATCCAACAAATGAAACTACCCCTGTGACAGAATGTATGCTGGACCCTGAATAGACAAGGGGTCAGAGACTGCCTCACTACCTCACTCATTCCTTGCCTTAAAGCCATCCCCAGGCCGGGGTGCGGTGGCTCACACTGTAATCCCAGCACTTTGGGAGGCCAAGGCGGGTGGATCACCTGAGATCAGGAGTTCGAGACCAGCCTGGCCAACATGGTGAAACCCTGTCTCTACTACAAATACAAAAAAGCAGCTGGGCATGGTCATAGGCGCCTGTAATCCCAGCTACTCAGGAGGCTGAGGCAGGAGAATCACTTGAACCCGGGAGGCAGAGGTTGCAGTAAGCAGAGGTCGTGCCACTGCATGCCAGCCTGGGCAACAAGAGTGAAACTCCGTCTAAAAAAAAAAAAAAAAAAAAAAAAAAAAAAAACCGCACCCAGCTGATCAGAAAGATGAAATGTTGGCATGCAACACACATGTGCGCACGCACACACTGCCACACTGCCATGCCCTCATCAGCATGACAAACACAGCCCCGTGCAAAGCATGAATGTGTCAAGACTTGGTTATTCATTTCTTCCTGTAGCTGACTCTGGATCATGTACCACTTCACAGGCTGTCTCTGGACCCTTTTGATGATAAGCCCATTGCAGCAAGATCTATCTGTCACAGCCTGGTGTACCATATATCTATTCCTTGGGCAGAAAAAAAAAAGGTAACAAAAATTGGTCTGCAGGCTGGCCCCATCATTACAAAAATGACTGGTTGGCAGAGATCGTCATTCCACAAGGAGTGTATGTTTCAGAAGGACAAAGCATAACTCTTCCATGAGTGGAATCTCAAATAACCAACCGGGCCTGAAGCAGCAGGTTGGTCCCCCCACGGTATGGCACCAAGTCAGGAGCTCAGGGTTGGTTTCTGCTGTAGAATGTTGGGCATTCAACAACGGCTGTAACCAGGTTAGTCTTGGTGAGTCCATGTGGCTAAGCCTATACCAAGCCCTCCACTGAGCCATCAGGGCCACTCTGTCCATGAGCCCACTGAGCAAACCCTGCGTCACTGGAGGAAGAGATTAATCAGCATCCTCAAAGTAGACCACCTTGTCTACCTGTCTACCTGACTACCAATAGGAGCTTGATGAATGTTCACATGAAACATAAATATTCTCATATTCTTTGGTCATTCTAGGAGGCCCATCCACATCTCTGTTATTCTAAACTTCCTTGTCACCAATCCTTGAATCTTACCCCTTCCACATTTTTGATCATCTGGCCAAACCATTAGCAAAGCACGTGCATTAGTAAGAGCCTTACCTCAGTCGATCTCTCCTTCCAAGTAAAGCAGTCAACAAGCAGTACTGCTCAAAGCACAGCCCACTAGAAGGATTTCTGGTCTCTACTTCGGAGGCTCTTCTGAATGGAGCTAGAAGGCTAGAGCAGTTTACTTTGAGTGGGGACGAACATATCATGAAGAGTTTTGCAAAGCAGTCATGGGTGTTTTCCTCCTCAGTCAACTCTGCATGCAGCCATAGATGCAGATTGAGGGAGAGGCAGCAGAGCAGCAGAAGTAGGCACACTGGAGCTTAAGTGAGTAGCTCATCCCATTTACACCAGCCATTGGTACCTGCTTGGCCCAGTCCCACTCATATCACTTGCACTTGATTATGGAGTGTGGCCGGACATGCCTGAATTCATGGCATGGTTCATGATGAGCAGTAGCTTGGGTTGCATGCTGATGTGGTGTCCAACGGTCAGGGGTTCAGTTTATTAGGGCCAATAAAAAGCCTAAACTACTTATTAAAAGGAGAATAATCACCTGAGAAAGAGAGTATGTCCTTGCTTCCAAAGCCTCGGGATTTCTACACGAGCAGAATAGGCAATAAAAAAAATAAAGAAAGAAAGAAACAGGCTGGGCATGATGGCTCACGCCTGTAATCCCAGCACTTTGGGAGGCCGAGGTGGGTGAAACACAAGGTCAGGAGTTTGAGACCAGCCTGGCCAATATGGTGAAACCCTGTCTCTACTAAAAACATAAAAAAAAATTAGCTGGGTGTGGTGGCACGTGCCTGTAGTCCCAGCTACTCAGGAGGCCGAGGCTGGAGAATTGCTTGAACCCGGGAGTCAGAGGTTACAGTGAGCTGAGATTGCGCCACTGCACTACAGCCTGGGCGACAGAGCGAGACTCCATCTCAAAAAAAAAAAAAAAAAAAAAAAAAGAAACAAAGCCTCAGGATCTCCACTGGGATTCTCCTATTGGGTTTGCCCCAAGTTCCACACAGCATCTGAAAATTGGTCTACCAAATCCAAAGAGACTGACCTTCCACCAAAATGGAGTAACAGAGACAGGATTTACCCTCCCACCTAAAACAACCAAAAGCGACAAAATCTGTGAAACAACCATTTATAAGATACAGTGTACCAGATAATGAAAGGCAATAATCCCTGAGAGATGGGAAAGAAACAAGGTCACTCCTGTGATTGCCCCAGCTTACTGTCTTAAGGGAGTTTCCAGGCCCCCTTCCAGGTAGGGAGGAGGGGCCCACGTGAGGCCTGATGGATTCCCCGAGTGGAGGAGACAATGCTGAGATTCTAGCTACAAGGCAGCTAGAATTCACAGGAAAGAAAACTGGAGAGGAAAGCACTGCACAGAGAGAGAATCCTGGAGATCTAAAGAGACAGTCCCCACCTTATGTATTCAGCTGAGTACCAATCAGCACATGTAGGTCAGGAATCTATGCGAGGCTGGGGAAAGAATCATCTGGAAGGATGAAAGTTTGCCGGGCGTGATGGCTCACACCTGTAATTCCAGCACTTTGGGAGGCTGAGGCAGGCAGATCACCTGAGGTCAGGAGTTTGAGACCAGCCTGGCCAACATGGTGAAACCCCGTCTCTGCTAAAATTACAAAAATAAGCTGAACTATACCTGTAGTCCCAGCTACTTGGGAGCCTGAGGCAGGAGAATCGCTTGAACTCGGGAGGCAGAGGTTGCAGTGAGCCAAGATCTCACCAGTGCACTCCAGCCTGGGTGACAGAGTGAGACTCCATCTCAAAAAAAAGAAAGAAGAAAAAAAAGGATGAAAGTTTAGCCAGGCACAGTGGCGCACACTTGTAGTCCCAACCACTTGGGAGGCTGAGGTGGGAGGAGGCTCAAGACCAGGAGGTCGAGGCTGCAGTGATGATTGCACCACTGCACACCCACCTGGGCGACAGAGCCAGACCCTGTCTCAAAATAATAATAATAATAATAATGATGATAATAATAATAATAATAATGAAAGGGAACAGTGCTCAACACTCACACAAGCTAGGAATGGTGCCTGTTCCTACAGGCCAGACTAGAAAGTCCCATAATTCATGGGGCATTAGATAAAGTACATACAAGAGTCTTGCTTTTGTAGTGGCTAATAATTAGCCCTAGACCCTGGTTTCTCAACTTTCTCAATTAATAATTAGGCTGAATAGTTCTTTATTGTATACCTATTCTAAGCATTTACATACTTTTTACCAGAGCTCCAAAATACATGAAGCAAAAACTGATAGAACTGCAAGGAGAAATGGACAAACCCAACTCTTAATTATAGTCAGAGATTTTAATATCCTCTCTCAATAGTTGATAGAACAAGTAGTCAGAAAATTAGCAAGGATATAGAAGATTTGAATGCTATCAACCAACTTACCTAATGAACATTTCAAGGACACTCCATCCAACAACAGAGGACACATTCTTTTCAAGTCTTCGTGAAACTCGTATCGAGAAATCATCTTCTGGGCCATAAAATAAAACTCAATAAATTTAAAAGGATTTATGTCACACTAAATATATTCCCTGACCACAGCGGAAATAAATTAGAAATCAATAACAGAAACGTAACTAGAAAATCCCTAAATATTTGGGAATCAAATAACAAATTCTAAACAATCCATAGGCCAAGGAAAAGGGAAATTAGGAAATATTTTGAATTGAGTGAAAACAAAAACACAACATACCAAAATCTCTGGGATTGGCCTGGGCACAGCGGCTCACACCTGTAATCCCAGCGCTTTGGGAGGCCAAGGCAGGAGGATCACTTGAGGCCAGGAGTTTGAAACCACCACCTGAACAACAGAGCAAGATCCCATCTCTACAAAAAGTAAAAATAAAAAACATTAACCAGGCACTTGGCAGGTACCTGTAGGCGTAGCTACTTGGGAGGCTGAGGCAGTAGAATGGCTTTAGCCAAGGCGTTCGAGGCTGCAGTGAGCCATGATTGTACCACCGCACTCCAGCCTGAGCAACAGAGATTCGAGACCCTGTCTCTAAAAAACCAAAAACAATAATAACAACAATAACAAAACCCTGGGATGCCACAAAAGTAGTACTTATGGAGAAATTGGTAGCATTAAACCTGTTTTGCAAAAGAAGGTTTCAAATCAACTCTCCAGCTTCTATCACTGCCCTGCTGTAATCTATTTATACCTCTCTCACAAGTTAAGTGCTCTGAGAGCTGTAGATATATCCCTTCCATCCTTGTTCTACAGAACCTAACACCTGGTCCACTGCAGGCCTCCAGAAACACAACTTAACTAGAATTCCACCCTCACTGGCTTCCCTGTCACAGCAGCTGGGAGAAGCCCTCTAGAGCTGGGCCTTCTATCCTATTCCATTTGGAATAAACAAAATTTTGGTCCCCAGACATGGCCCACGGAGACCCTGAGAACTGCAGATAGGCTTATTTTTCAAGCTCAATCTGTGGGGGAAAGCAGAACCCAGCACCTTGGCCATTGAAAACCCACTGAGCTCTTTCGCACTACGGGGCTTCTGCACCTGCGGCTCTCTCTTCCCCCAGCTCTTCATGGGCCCAGCTCCTATCTTTGTCCTGGTTACAGCTTAGAATGGCCTGCAGTACAGTGCACACTGATGTTTCAGCATGCCCAGGTCCATCACCTGGAGCCCCTTCCTGCGGCATCGCCAGATCTTGCTTTGGATAACTCCTCCTCCCCCAGTGGATACAGTCCTGATGAAACTGTCAATCACAAGTCCCTGGTCTTCATCCTGCTCTCCCCTGGCCAAAGAGTGAGGGCCTTTGTCCCTGGACTGTGAATCCTAAACAAAGTATCACAAACCCAGAACACCGTTGGGAGGTATTTGTCCCAGTGGCCACCCCCTGAAGAGACTGTCTTTGAGTGCCTGCCATAAAGATGCCCAAAATAGCACTGGTTCCTGTGCCTTCTTTTATTCTTTTTCTCTCTTCTTCTTTCCTTTGATCCTGAGAACTCCCCTTATCCTTCCAGAAATTTCTTTTTGCTTAAGTTTTCCAGAACTAATTTATATTGCTTGCAATAAAGAACTCTGATACTAAGGTCCCATCCTCAGTCAACATCTGCATTTTTCAAAATCTAAACTGATTTTAAAACATGTCTTTGTTTCCTTGTGTATTGTCTGTCTCTGCCACTGGAATGGAAGCGCCATGTCAGCAGGGACCTTTTCTGTCTGCTCCCTGCTGTCCCTCAGCACCTAGCCCCTGCCTGGCACATAGCAGGGACTCCAGAGGAAGGAAGAACCACACCCTGGTCTGTATCTTACCGTGAGGTCCACTTTGAACATGGGGCCGTGTGAAAGAGAAGGAAAGGAGAGGGCTTATGGGAACCAGTGAATGAGCTTCCACCTCTCCCAGGAGAGTGAATTCTAGCTTTGGATTCCAAACAACAGATTCCAAGACCAGAGCTCTCCTCCCCTCCCTCTTTGCTCTCTACCAATCCTTCCTAAGTCTGGAGCAGTGTCTTGTAAATCTTTAATTACAAGAAAATTGCAACCCAACCAACGAACACACGAACAGTGTTGATAAATATTTAAAGTTGCTACAGCAGCAGATCTGAAGGGATTAAGAAAAGATATATTGGAGTGACAGTTGTTAAACACTAAATCCCAGTAAACGTTACCGAGCAGATATATAATGCGGACTCCTGACAGCCGCTCTGTTGCTGACAAGACAGGAGGAACATCTGCTCAGGAACATGGCATCAGGGGAGGCAGCAGGCCCTCACGGCCTGTGACAAGGGTTTGGGAAGAGAGAGGACAGCCATGCACTTAGCTCTCTGCCCCCTGGAGTCATGCCCTGCCTCACAGTCCCTTGGCGTCCCTAGCTCCATGGAGGGGTGGCAGATAGTGGCTGGAAGGAAAGGAGAAGTTTCCAGAATGAGTACATTTGGAGGACCCCAGTGGCTGGGCTGTCACTCGTGGCTGTCTGTCAGGTGGACCAGCTCTAACTCTCTCCAGGGCTCTGGAATGGGCCCATTTGTATTGTCACCAGCACATAGCCCTTTGGAAGAAAGGTAACCAGCTTTGCTTCATTCATTCCTTCACCTTCACTCCTTTAATTCTCTACTCATTTCTTGATTCACCATTCACCTATTTCCCCCACTTATGCACTAATTGTCTCATTCTATTATTCATACATTCACTAGTGTATGCATTCTTTCATGCATTTATTCAATTACTCATGCATGAGTAACTTAAAAGTTACTCAGTGGTCAAATATTTATTGAGCACTTTTGACAGCTGGGGAGAAGCAAAGCTGAGAAATAACCACGTTGTACCCTCAAGATCTGAAAGCCTAGGAGAGAGTAGGGACCAGAAAGATAAAAATGTTCCAATATAGTAGGCTCTTGGCATTTGCAGATTCCATATTTGCCGTTTGACTATTCAGTAAATACCCACAAAGGTCTGTGACTGTCAAAGATCTGCACTGTTGTTGACACACGGCTTTGAATGACACATGCATCAAGGCTGGTGTGTGGAAATGAAGGTACCTGACCAGGTCTGGAGAAGTCAGGGAAGGCTTCCTGCAGAAGGAGCTGCTTGGGCACCAGCTATATGCCAGGCACTTTACTGTATTAGTTCATTTCATCATCACAACACTCTCCCAGCCCATTTTAAAGATTAGAAAATTGGAGATCAGCTTGTCCAAGGCCACAAATGGCAAAATAGAATCAGAATCAGAGCCTGACTCCAAAGCCAATGTGTTTTCTACCACATTTAACTGCTTCCTGGGGGCCCCAGCCATCTACCTCTTTACAATGAAGAAGAGTGGGAAAATCTCTTCTTCCCAAGGACAGAGAAAAAGTTGTTTTGTTCGTTTGTTTGAGATATAATTATAATTTATGTTCAGTAAGATGCACAGATTTTAAGTGTACCATTCAACACGTTTAGACAAATGTATACACCCATATAACCAACATCTAAATCAAGGTATGGAATACTTCCATCACCCTAGAAAATTTCCACCAGAGACCACCACTGTTTTAATTTCTACCACCAGATTTGTGTTGCCAGTTCTTGAATTTCATATAAATGGATTTAATGTATGAATGGTTTCTTTCCCTTAACATAATAAGGCAAGTAATATAGTTTGGATATTTGTCCCCACCCAAATCTCATGATGAATTATAATCCCCAATGCTGGAGGTGGGGCCTAGTGGGAAGTGTTTGGGTCATGGGGATGGATCCCTCACGGCTTGGTGAGTCCTCGAGATAGTGAGTGAGTTATCACGAGATCTAGTCATTTAAAAGTGTGTGTGGGCCAGGTGCAGTGGCTCACACCTGTAATCCCAGCACTTTGTGAGGCTGAGGCAGGTGGATTACCTGAGGTCAGGAATTTGAGACCAGCCTGGCCAACATATAGAAACCCTGTCTCTACTAAAAATACAAAAATTAGCTGGCATGGTGGTGTGCACCTGTAATCCCAGCTACTCGGGAGGCTGAGGCAGGAGAATTGCTTGAACTGGGGAGGCGGAGGTTGCAGTGAGCCGAGATTGTGCCACTGCACTCTAGAGCAAGACACTGTCTCAAAAAAATAAAATAAAATAAACTAATAAAATAAAAGTGTGTGGCACCTCCCCACCGACTCTCTTGGTCCTGCTTTTGCCATACATTGTGCCTGTTCCTCCTTTGCCTTCTGCCTTGATTGGAAGCCTTCTGAGGCCTCCCCAGAAGCAGATGCTGCCATGCTTCCTGTATAGCCTGCAGAAACATGAGCCAATTACACCTCCTTTCTTTGTAACTTACCCAGTCTCAGGCATTTCTTTATAGCAACGCAAGAATGCCCTAATACAACAAGATTTTAAAAAAGAGACTTTTCAAGTTGGGCACAGTGTCTCAGGCCTATAATCCCAGCACTTTGGGAGGCCAAGGCAGGTGGATCACTTGAGGTCAGGAGTTCGAGACCAGCCTGACCAATATAGTGAAACCCCATCTCTACTAAAAATACAAAAAACAATTATCTGGGAATGGTAGTGCATGCCTGTAATCCCAGCTACTCAGGAGGCTGAGGTGGGAGGATTGCTTGAACCTGGTAGGCAAAGGTTGCAGTGAGTCGAGATTGTGCCACTGCACGCCAGCCTGGGCAACAGAGCGAGACTCTGTCTCAAAAAAGAAAAGGGGGGGGGTATGGGGGGACTTTTCTAAGACGTTAAGGACAATTCCTCAGAAATATCCAAAAGTAATGAATTGACCTATCGCCAAGTTCCAGTTCAGTCCTGACCGCACTGAAAAAATGGTTAGATTGGTTGGCACTGCTAGGCCACCCAAAACCGTAGTTCCTTTTTTTTGCCCCACCTCTCTAAGGGGTAGGTGTTAACCACAGAAGCTCAGGGGTCAGACTGCCAACATTCTGGGTCTGAAGGCATCTGACCTTCCCGGGGCCTGTTCCCTTAAATCTTCTTAAGGTGCGAGCACTTGTGTACTTGTGTGTGCCAGCCATCTGCTGGCCTCCTGCACTGGGCCTCAGGAATCTCATTCCAGACTCCTGGGTAAGGAAAGCTCATTCCTCTCTGGCCTCAAGATTCCTCCCCTGCATGTCTGCCTGTCCTATATTTGCTTGGCCACACCTTCCTTATAACTCTAGGAAGCAGGAATCTAGACTGGTTCAGGGAGGCCCGACTTCTTCCTCAGAGTCCTAGGCCACCATCTTGGTCAAGGCTTTCTAGGAGCCTGGCAGGCTCTGAGGGGAACACCATCTTTTCCAGGGTCTTCTGGCTTCACATCAGCTTCTCTGTGAGTCAGCACCTTCTCCACACCTCTTGTACCTTTCAAAGCCTGTGTTCTCATTCTGGAGGCCCACCAAGTCCCTGCTTCCTGCATGAAAATTGCCTCTCTTCTCTTTTAAAGAGCAGGAACCACTGAGGCTGGGTGTGATGGCATGTGCCTGTAGTCGCAGCTACTTAGGGGGCTGAGGTGGGAGGATTACTTGAGCCTAGGAGATCGAGGCTGCAGAGAGGACCACTGTACTCCAGCCTGGGCTACAGAGTGAGACCCTGTCTCAAAAAAAAAAAAAAAAAAAAAAGCAGGGACAACTGAAATGCCCTGACTTGCTGAATGAATGAGCTCGCAGAACCAGCCCTGCAGCCCTGTGGATGGAGGTTATGCTCTCCAGGTGTCCCCAGGGAGGAGAATAACATTCCCCGAGGCTCCTCAATTATATTCTCACTGTCGGGGAAAATTCCTTTTAGACATTACAATTGGATAGCAACATTTCCTGACACAGGGTGACTGGAGGAGGCTGAGGAAATGCCCCAAAAGTCTGTAACAAGGCCCCGGATGTGGCCAGAGCCTGGACCAGATGCAGGAATGGGGGCAAGGGCCTTGGGGGTCCCCTGGGCAATCCAGTATCTTTCTCTAAAAAGGGCTGGAACTGAGCCGGAACTGCTGGAGACAATGGACTGAAGCTTTTTAATTGGTGTCCTGCACATCTCAGTGGTCATTACCTGCAGCCCAGGCTGTCTCTACCCCAGGCAGCTCGGTACTGTGGCACCCTGTGGCATCCTTCCAACATGCCCCTTGAGAAGGACCCAGGCTATTGATCCCCAGAAGGAAAGAGAGGCTGGGGCAGGTTACATGTCCCTGTTCCAGACTACATCAGTCAGTCGATCAACAACCATCAAGGAGCCCTTCAGAGACAAATGGTAATTTCATTCACTCTGGTCTTTAACTAGCTGTATTCTCTTACCATTTCCTAATTGCCTCTGTCTCTTTCTCTCTCATGCTGTCATTCAGTCAACGAAGATATACTGCATTTGAGAAGCAACCCAGTATTATAAAGAACATTAACACTGGAGCCAGATTGTCTGGGTTGGAACCCCAGCTTTTCCACTTACTAGCTGTGTGATCTCAAGCAAACTGGGCCTCAGATATCTTGTCCATAAACTGGCAATAATCAAATACTCACAGAGGTATTGAGAAGAACAGGGGAGCTAAATATGTAACCTGTTTAGAAGGGTTTCTGGCACGTGGTACAATAGATATTTTTGCTATTAAAATAATAATTATTACTATATGCAAAGCACAGTGCTAGATTCTGAAGATAAGACAGTGACCAACAAAGAAATTCCACCTGCTCTCATGGAACTTAACCCTTGAAGCTGCAGCGAAACTGCATCTTATGACTGTGATACATGGAAGGAAATGGAAGTACAGTGGCTGGGGGAGATATAATCAGGGCCTGAGCTGGACTGAGACACCAGGGAAGGCTCTCCCAAGGTAGTGATACTGAGTTGAGTTTCAAAGGATGGTGGGAGTTGACTGGAGAAGGGCACAGCAGGTGCAGTCTGGGGTAGGGAGGGGCCCGGCCATCTGGAACTGAAAGGCTAATGTGAGTGGAGTTTGCAGAGATCCTCAAAGTGCAGAGCGGAGAGGGCAGGAGATGAAGCAATGCAGGGGAGTCGGGAGTCGGGAGTCAGGAGGCCGTGGCTGGTACAGTCCACATAAAAGTAGACACAAAACCAAAGGCACAATCCATGACAGAGGTGACTGATAAGATGCACGTCATTCAAATGAAAAACTGCTTTGCAAAAGATGCTGTCAAGAGAGGAAGGAGACAAGCCACAGACTAGGAGAAATATTTGCCAAAGACATATCTGATCCAAAATATATAAAAAATTCTTAAAACTCAACCATAAGAAAACAAACACCCAATTAAAAACTGAGTCGAGGCCAGGTACAGTGGCTCACGCCTGTAATCCCAGCACTTTGGGAGGCCGAGGCGGGAGGATCACCTGAGGTCAGGGGTTCAAAACCAGCCTGGCCAACATGGCAAACCCCCGACTCTAATGAAGATACAAAAATTAGTGGGCATGGCGGCGTGTGCCTGTAATCCCAGCCACTCAGAAGGCTGAGGCAGGAGAATAGCTTGAACCCTGGAGGCGGAGGTTGCAGTGAGCGTAGATCGCTCCACTGCACTCCAGCCTGGGTGAGAGCGAGACTCTGTCTCAAAAAAATAAAAAAATAAATAAATAAATAAAAATAAAAAAAGAAAAAACTGAGCCAAACACCTTAACAGACATTTCACCAAAGAAGATGTACAAATGATAGATAATCATATGAAAAGATGCTCCACGTCACATGCCATTGGGGAAATGCAAATTAAAACAAAGTGATACCACTATATACATTAGAATGCCCCAAATCTGGAACACTGATAATACCAAATGTTAGTGAGGATGTGGAGCAACAGGAACTCTCATTCATTTCTGGTGGGGATGCAAAATGGTACAGCCACTTTGGAAGACAGTTTCATGGATTCTTACAAAACTAAACATACTTTCACCATATAATCTAGCAGTCGCACTCCTTGGTACTTACCCAAATGAGTGGAAAACTTATGTCCACAAAAAAACCCACACACAGATGTTTATAGCAGCTTTGTTCCTAGTTGCCAAAACTTGGAAGCAACCAAGGTGTCCTTCAGGAGGTGGAAGGATAAATAAACTGTGGTACATCCAGACAATGGAATATTATTCAGCGCTAAAAGGAAATGAGCAGCCAGGTGCTGTGGCATTCGCTTGTAATCCCAGCTACTTGGCTGGTTGAGGCAGGAGGATGGCTTGAGCCCAGAAGTTCAAGATCAGCCTGGGCAACATAGTGAGCAAGACCCCATCTCAAAAAAAAAAACAAAAAACAAAAAAAAAAAAAAAAGAGAGAGAGACAAGAGAGAGCCAAAAAAGAAATAGAAAAGAGCTGCCAGGCATGGTGGCTCATTCCCGTAATCCTAGCACTTTGAGAGGCCGAAGCGGGTGGATCACCTGAGGTCAGGAGTTCGAGACCAGCCTGGCCAACCTGGTGAAACCCCGTCTCTACTAAAAATACAAAAATTAGCTGGGCGTGGTGGCGGGTGCCTATAATCCCAGCTACTCGGGAGGCTGAGGCAGGAGAATCACTTGAAACTTGGAGGCAGAGGTTGCAGTGAGCCGAGATCACACCACTGCACTCCAGCCTAGGCAACAGAGCAAGACTCTGTCTCAAACAATAAATAAATAAAATAAAAATAAAGAAAGACTGGTTAAACCATGAGCACAGAGAGACTGCCCAGCACACCAGGAAGAGACAGAAAAACAGCAAGCCAGGTCTCTGCAAGGGTTCCACATATGGCCTGAATGTATAATTTGGAAAAACTGCCACCCCTACCTACCCCATGCATCCCAGCCACCCCCCCCGCCCTCCCTCTGAACCCCCAAGTTTGCACCTTCTTACCTGTCCCCAACAAATCGCAGCCAGCCCGGGCTCCCCATGTTGGGAAAGGAAACCTCGGTCAGAGACTCCACGGTCCACATTTTTAGGTGGGGGTGGGTTTGGCAGATTGGGAGTGGGGATGGAGAGAGGGGAGATGTTTGAGGGGGTAAGGGAAATAGGGAACCAGCTGGGAGGGAGGAGGAGCAGAAGAATAGGAAGGGAAAGAGGTAGAGGAGGGAAAGGAAAGGAAAGGAAAGAAGAGGGGCCTGGAGGAGGGAGAAGGAAAGACAAAGGCCTGCTGGGAACCAACCCAGTAGGAATTACACTCATTTTTTTTCAAATTTCTGGAAGCTAGCATTTACCTAGGTGGGAAAGGGAGCTTCTTCGCAAATATCCGACACATGTATGAGTGTACGTTGCAGGTATGAATGTGAATGGCAACGGGACATAGCGCTGGCTGTGGCTGTGGCTGTGGCTGCGGGTGCAGATGGAGGGGATGCGGGTGCCGTACACATCCTGATAAGGAAAAGAGAAATGGGGAGAGGCCTCAAAATAAGCAAACCACTCTTCGACAGCCCTAACAAATCTGTTTTTGTTTCCTGTGTGTCTTCCCTGTCCTCATCCATGTGTACGTGTGACCTTTACCTCTTTAACACACCAGAGTTGAGGGTGGCAAAGCCATGCCACATCCAGCAGAGTCCCAGACCACAGTCCGCAGATGCCTTCTGAAGTCACCTCCTCCTAGCAAGCCCCTCCCCAACTAATGCCCCACACCTGCCCCACCCCTCCCCACTTCCGCCAGGCTCTGGGCCTGGTCTTGCGTCTGCTTTGCATTTCCCGTGAGTGCTCCACTGCTCCTCTCAGGCTCTAGACATCACCCCTCCCCAGGACTGCAGTGTCTCTGCCTTTTCTGAATCAAGGCCCCCACCCCGCCTTCCTGGGCCCGAGGTGGCTGGAAGGTTTGCACAGAGCTAGCGGTTCTGAGGTGCTGGGAATGCACAGGGTCAGTGCCTCCTCGGTGCACAACATAAGTACCTTTCTATGTCATGTGTAGTCTTTGTGGCATAAGGTTACTGACCGTGTTATAGGCCACCCACAAGATGTCCTCTCTCCCTAACCATTGCCCTAGGGTTGAAAACATTGGATGACTACAAAAAAAAAAAAAAAAAGAGTTTTTCCCTTTGAAAAATGTTCCCTGTGAGCCTGAGAGGTGAGGAGGAAGGCATTTCTTCAGCTCCTTGAAGCGGGTAGGTCCAAAAGCTGCCTGCTCTGCAGAGAGCCCGGGAGAATGGGTGTTTCCTGGTGTCCTGCCTTACCTGACATCACTCCAGTAGCCCCTGGGGAGCATCTGAGAGGAACCCAATCCCAGGAGCACTATCACTTGGTAGGATTACTACCATTTAATTTGCCACATTGCTTTTTAATATGCTTTTTGTGCCATCTCCTCTGGTAAATCATAAGTGTCCTAAGGGCTGGTTACATTCTATTCATCTCTCAGTGCCTGGCACCTGGCCCAGTGCCTGCCACATTGTGATATAAACAAGCAGAGCAACCACTGAGTGAGCACCTACCCTGTGCCAGGCACAAGCACTTGACAGGCATAAATGACGTATAAATAGATGCCACTATTATGCCCACTTCACAGATGCTGAGATAGAAGCCCAGAGAGGTGAATTAACATGGCCATGGTCACACAGGGAATAAAAACCCAACTCACGTTTAGGCTTCTCAGTTTCTAGGGGAAACTTCCCTGAAATATTCTCAGGCAGCAGAAATCTGGAGCCAGCTCCAGGTCTGAGAGAGATGGCGCAGAAGCAGCACTGCCCCAGGCCCTGCCTCTGTTGTGCAATAAGTGGCGCCAAGGATTTAGAATTTCCCCAGAACTGAAATAATGATCATAAGCATCTTTATTACAAGATGTGCACTGCTTTTGCAATCTGCTTTTGTTTTTTTTGTTTCTTGTTTTTTTTTTGTTGTTGTTGTTATTTGTTTGTTTTGAGACAGGGTCTCTCTCTGTCACCCAGCCTGGAGTGCAGTGGTGTAATCTCAGCTCACCGCAACCTCTGCCTCCTGGGCTCAAGTGATCCTCCCACCCCAGACTCCCGAGTAGCTGGGACTGCCGGCGTGTGCCACCATCCTCGGCTGATTTTTGTACTTTTTGTAGACACAGGGTTTTGCCATGTTGCCCAGGCTCGTCTCAAGCTCCTGGGCTCAAGTAATCCACCCGCCTTGGCCTCCCAAAGTGTTGGGATTATAGGCGTGAGCCACTGCACTCGGCCTGCAATCTGCTTTTGAAAGCACTTTTCTATCAAATGTCTTTTTAGATGCTATGAGGAAGCCAAGGCAGGTATCATTTCATTTCTGATGAAGAAACTGAGACTCAGAGAAATGACCGTCCAAGACCACACGGCGAGGTGAAGGCAGGAATGGCATCTGTGTGCTGGAAAGACTTTCAGAAGAGGATGCTAGGCCTGGCGTGGTGGCTCACACCTGTAATTCCAGCACTTTGGGAGGATCACGAGGTCAAGAGATGGAGACCATCCTGGCCAGCATGGTGAAACCCCATCTCTACTAAAAATACAAAAATTAGCCAGGCGTGGTTGCGTGTGCCTGTAGTCCCAGCTACTTGGGAGGCTGAGGCAGGAGAATCGCTTGAACCCAGGAGGCGGAGGTTTCAGTGAGCCGAGACTGCACCACTGCACTCCAGCTTGACAACAAAGCAAGACTGTCTCAAAAAAAAAAAAAAGAAGAGAGAGAAAAAGAGGATGCTCTTCCTCTAATACAAGTATGGGTAACAGCCCTGCCTTTCTGCCCATTTACCAACAGCTCCAGGTGCCCACAGGGGACAGTCTCTGTCCTCAGGGCTAGGTCTCAGGGCCATGCTGACTGCACACCGACCTGCTCCCTTCTTGAAGGCAGAGGCTGGATTTTGAGCACTCCAGTTAGTGCAGGGACAGCACGGGACCCCTGTACCTCAGTGGCTGCACACTCCAAGGCCGAGTTTATGAAGGAGGACCAGCAGTCATCTACTTCCCCTGTCAAACACCATTACAGACTTGCAAACGCCAGTCTCTAAAGTTGGCTCTCTAGGCTGGATCTGTTCAAGTAAGCTGCATCAGCCAGTCAGTCACAGAGGAATTGGCCCCTCCACCCCCAAAAGACCCCTAAACCAAAGCCTGGGTGGCAGAGCAGTTGCCACCATCAAGCCAAGCTTGGACATCTAGGCTGAACTATGAAGGGTACACCGTTGAGATAGACAGTCCCTGGCCTTGTAGCCAAAGTGTCCAGTGTTCTGTTGTGTGGGCATCTAGGGGAGTCCTAAGGGATCAGCTGCCCAGCAGCCTTTTTCTAGAAATACAGGCACATCCACATGGATACAACAAGATCTCCAGGAGCCACGTGTCCTTCCTGTCCCCCGACAGCCACACTGATGGGACCAGCTGTGCATAGCCCACCTAAGCTGCGCATCTCAGAGTCCTTCCCTGAGCATTTGGAACCAAGAGACTCCAGGGTAGCCTGGCTTTCTCATAAACACAGGGACATAAACTTCAGAAATATTAGTGGTGGCCGTTCTCCTCCTTGGAGTCAAGAATAGAGAGAAAGCCAGTCTACAGCAAGAGAAAAGAATGAGGCAGCCCTGAAAAGAGGAGGGAGGCCCACTTGCATCCATGCCTTTGGGTTCCATGATACCTTAAGACTTTTCTCACAAAGTCCCCATTTTTGCTTAGAGTTGGTTTCTGTTACTTGTAACCAATAGAGTTAATACAGTATAACTCCATCATTCTCAACCAGGGGCGATTTTGTTCCCCAGGGGACATTTGGTGATGTCTGGAGATATTTTTGGTTATCATAACTGGGGGAAAGGGGGTGCTACTGACATCTAGTAGGTGGTCAGGGATGCTGATAAACATCCTACAATGCACGGGGCAGCCCCTCACACCAGGAACCATCTAGTCCAAAATGTCAAGTTGACAAGCACCATGCTTGTCAAAGACAGGAGCGATCATCATGAAAAAATAGGCTTTGTGTCTCACTTCTCCATTTGGCAAAGACTCTTTCATTTTAAACAATATTCTGGTGGTGAGAATTCTCATACCTTGATAGCAGGAGGACAGACAATGAGTGCAACCTCTATGAAGAATCATTTAACAAGACATTTACCTGGGGCCTTAACATGTTCACTGTTAAATCAGCAATTTACTTTGTAGAATTTATTCTTGGTAGAAAATCTTAATTCAGATATACACAAAGATTTATGCAAAAGGATGTTCAGTGTAGCTTTATTTATAATGGTGAAAAATGGAAACAACTTAAATATCAACCACTGGGTATTGGTTACATAAATTATGATACATTCATAGCACAGAATAATATATGTAGCACTTAAAATTATGTTTATGAAGATTATTTAGTAACACAGGGAAATGCTCATTATGTTAACTGAAAAGCCAGAATATAAAATTTTTGAAATATGCATAAGCACAGAAAAAAAGGCTGCAGGGAAATATATCAAAATATTAACTGTGGCTATCTCTAGGGACTAGGATCACAGCTATTTTTTTGTTTTCCTATTTTTAAAAAATATTTTCCAATTTTTCTGCAATTAACATGTATTATAATTTGGAATTTAATACTAGAAAGGAATCGTGATATCAGAATTTAGGATAGTCTAGATTATTCATTCATCAAAAAATAAATAAATAAATATATATATATATATATATATATATATTAAGAGCCTACCATGTGCTAGACGGACATTGTGAATAGGCAGACAAGGCCACTGACCTCAAGGGGTTTCCAGTCCAGGAGAGGAAGCACTTCAGAGGTTCCAACTATTTGCAAATTCACTGTTATAGAAACCATCTGAAAAGGATTTGTTATTAACACTTAAATAGCTACCATTTGTTGAGAGCTTATTATGTCAGTACTAGATGCCTTACAATTTTGATCTCATTATCTCTGCATAACACCCCGAAAAAATATGGTTAAGTCTTGGTCACATGGCTGGTGGGCAGTGGCCAGGATTCAAACCATATCTATTTACCATCAGCACAAATTCCCAGTCTCCTCTGCTCCCTGCCTCAGTGACAGGGGTCATTTCAGGACCATAAGATATGGCAAACTGGAGCCACCAAGAAAGATTTTAAAGTCTAGAAAGCCAGATAGAAAAGGGTATGCAGGCCAGGTATGGTGGCTCACAACTGTAATCCCAGCACTTTGGGAGGCCAAGGTGAGAGGATTGCCTGAGTCCAGGAGTTCAAGACCAGCCTGGGCAACATAGTGAGACCTTGTCAACAAAAAAATTTTAAAAAGACAAAATTAGCCAGGTATCGTGGTGCACACCTGTGGTCCCAGCTACTCTGGAGGCTGAGGTGGGTGGATGGCTTCAACCTGGGAGGTTGAGGCTTCAGCGAGCCTTGATCTTGCCACTTGGGCTTCAGCCTGGGCAAGATCCTGTCTCAAAAAAAAAAAAAAAGAGAGAGAAAAGAAAGAAAAGAAAGAGGCATGAGTGGGAGGAATGTAGGCCACTGACCAGATATCCAGCAGGAGGCCAAGAGTGAAGTTGTTTGCAGTGTTAGGGAAGGTCGTGGGGCCAGGGCTGGGGCAGAAGGGTGGTCACTGTCACAGATGAGCTCTGAGCTGCCCATGAGAAGGAAGAAATAGAGAAAAAGCAAAACCATTTAAGAAGTGGAGATAGAAAGACGAGCGCTTTGATGTACATTGGAATGGCTGCAGCTGCGGCCAGAAAGGAGCACGTCCTCTCCCCAGAGGTGAGTCTATTAGAGAAGGTTCCACACAGTGAGAGGGGAGCACAGAGGGGAATGAGCTTGTGCTGCAAACCAAAGCTCAGGGGACTCCAAGAAAACACGGAAATCAGGAGACCTCATGGGTTGTTGTAAAGGGCTATTGAGATGGCCTCCTCCCAGAAGAAATCAACAGAAAGGGTCCTGCTTCTTGGTGACCCAGAAGCCCGGGATAGGCTGGGTGTGGAGAGAAAGGGAAGCTGCGGAAGTCAAACTGGGGACTATTAGGAGCTTGGATCACTGGATTAACTTTGCAAAGTGAATTAAGTAATGAAGCTGGATGCAGATGGTGGAGCAACCGGGGTAGTTTGTGACTGGGAGGGACTAGTTTCTGCACTTCCAACAGCTGGCTGAACAGGTTAAATGCTCCACTCAAAGCCCAGGTCATTACCGTTGGTGGTGACATCCTGGCCCCTTCAGTGACAGACACAGAGGATCACCGTGGAGAAACACCAGGGAAGCTGAAGCTGATTTCCACTCACAATCTCGTTGTGTGCTTTGGTTCAGACATTTTTTTTTTTTGGTTCAGAAACTTCCAGGGGAAAACACCAGGCTAGGAGTCCAGAGGCCCGAGTGCGAGTCCCGGGACTCCTGTAAGTCACAGGAGCGGACGCATGCCACTTACCCGTGTCCTCAGCTGGAAAGTGAGAATGACGGTGCCACCCTCTCCTTCTCGGGCCTCCCCTGCCCAGTTTTCTCGGTGCCTCAGTGCCCTCCTCCAGACAGAGGGGGTGAGGAAAGTGCTTGCTTCGCAGGGCAGTGATGAGGGTCCAAGGAGGCAGCGCACGGTAAACTCCCTCCGAGGAAGCCAGGCTCGCAGTCAGCACTCAGCATCGTTGTTGCTGCTGCTTCTGCTGTTGTTTTTAGGCTAACTGGAGATAATAGATGTGAAAGTGTTTTGAGAAATACAAAGCACTCTATGTTCCAATAAAAGGTGTGGTTTCCATTCTTCCCTCTTCCTGTTTCATTTCTCAAAACTCCCCTCTGCACTGCTGGACTGAGCTATTGAACATGTCCCATCTCCCACAGGCTCCCCTGCCTCCAGAGCCCCCATCCCCTCCCCTTCACCCCCTCCTTCCTGGCACACAAAGCCCAACCCTTCTTCCTCTCCCCTGGGAGCCTCCCCTGATCCAGGCTGGGCTGGAGCCTCCTCCTCTCGGTTTCACCAGCACCCGTTGACTGCTGGCTGCACATACTGCAAATTTTCTGTGCTTTCATTTTTGGTTTTGTTTTGTCTTTTTCAGTCTTTTTCCTGCACTCTCCCCACCCTGACATAAGTTTCTTGGGCACAGACAGGGTGTCTAATTTGTCATTGCATGCCCAGAATCTAGCAAAGTCCAGGCATATTATCGTAAGCCCAGCAAATGTACACGGATTTGAATGAATGAGGAAATAAGATCATGTATATGAAGTCACCTTTTATGGTCTTAGAAATAATCATTATTAATAGCTCACTCAACAATATTCATTGATCACCTACTAATCTTTGAAAGGCCTCTACCTGGTACCTAGGGCAACACATAATAGGGTCTCTGCTCTCAAGGACTTTTCAAGGGAATAAGGGAGAACCCCTAGTGGAATTTTACGACCTGCAGATGACAATAACATAAATGTAGTAACATATGTATGTGCCCTAAAAGAGGCCAGGCTACCTGTTGCAGAAGTACAGTCAGGGACAGCTCCCCAGGGGCTTCAGGAGGCTCCTAAAGGAGGAGCTGACTTGAGCTCTGCCTTGTCCAGCCTCTCTGCAGCCCTGGGCCCTTCACTTCGTCTCTTCCTTCAGCTTTGGGAGGACTCAAGAGAGCTTGTGTCCTGCCCCTAGCCTCTCAGGAGGGGCCAGCAGCTCCCTGGGCTTCTCTGAGGCCACCACCTGGCAAACCTGGGGAGTCCTTGATCTGAGGCACCCGCAGGGTCACGCCTGCTACAACTCCATCTGGCCAAGGCCTCAAGGCAGCAGAGGCTGAGGGATTTGGAGCCCCCCAAACCCTGGTTTGAGTCTTGGCTCTGCCACTTGCCAGTTGTGTGAAGACATAATTACACTTTATCCAGGCCCCAAATTTCTCGTGTATAAAATGAGGCCAAGCCAGGTGCAGTGGCTCACGCCTGTAATTCCAGCACCTTGGGAGGCTGAAGCGGGAGGAGGATCGCTTAAGGCCAGGAGTTCAAGACCAGCCTGGGCAACATAGCAAGACCTTGTTTACATACAAAATCAAACATTTAGCCAGGTGCGGTGGCACATGCCTGTGGTCCCAGCTACTTGGGAGGCTGAGGTGGGAGAATTGAGGAGCCCGGGAGGTCGAGGTTGCAGTGAGCTGTAACAGTGCCACTGCATCCTAGCCTGGGTGACAAGAGTGAGATCCTGCCTCAAAAAAAACAAAAACATAACGTAAATAAAATGAGGACAATAGCCATTAATGAGATGGTGACACTTCAATGAAACAACAGATATGGAGAACCTGGAACATTCTTTTAAAAGCCTTCAATAAATGTAAACCATTTTTCGCTCTAGGACCTATAAAGCTGCAGTGCTTTGCAGCCAGTGGTGGGTGCACTCTAGGCCTCATGGGTGTGTTAGACATATCACAGGGCCCTGCCCCACCCTCTGGTCTGGGAATCCTGGGATCCCAGAAAAATGATGCAGGTTAGTAAAACTCAGACCTTCTAAATTTTATAGACACATTTAAGAATCTCTCAGGGTCAAGAACTAGTTGTAATTAAATTATAAATGTCCAGAAAAGAGAGAATGACCTCATTTTAGCCTCTGACCCCATGAGGCACAAGAAGGCAGGTATAGTTACCCCAGATGAGGAAACCAGGCCCAGAGAAGGGAAGTGTTTTGGCCAAGGGCACATAGTGCACGAGGGGCAGAACCCGGACTAAGTCTGCCCTTTCCTCTCTGCATAGTTACCATCTAATAGGCTGGGTGCCCAGAGGGGCCCCTTCTTGCCTAGGGACCAGTCTGCCTTTGTAGGACTAACAAATTAGCTACAAGATTAGAAATTACAGTTTAGGGGTCATGTCGCCTATGGCTCCAAGAGTCTGAACCTCCCCAAATTGTTCCTGGGAATAACATCACTATTGTAAAACCTAAGATCAGTGCTTGAGATATTTTGCAGACCCTGCACTCGATGGATCAGCTGACACCACCAAGACCAGTAATCTGGCTTCACCAGTTCTGCCATCCCACCCAGGAACAGAAAACAGCAAGAAAACCTCACTCCGACCCCCTATGATTCCATCTCTAACCTGACCAGTCAGCACTGACCACTTCCCAAGCCCCTACCCACTGAATTATCTTTAAAAACTCTGATCCCTGAATGCTCAAATGCTTGGGGAGACTAATTTGAGTAATAATAAAACTCCGGTCTCCCGCACAGCTGGCTCTGCATGAATTACTGTTTCTTCACTGTAATTCCCCTGTCTAGGCAGCAGGGAAGGTGAACCCACTAGGCGGTTACACTGTCCTTACAGTCTCTAAGGCTCCTCCTGCCCCAACGCTCAGGGACTCCCGGGCATTCAGTCGAGGGGTGTAAGATCAAGCCAGGCCTGACATCCTGCTGACTTGCCTGTCATAGAACAAAGGTCCCAGGGTTATCTGGCCCATCCTCCTGCTCCCGGCTCTGCCCATCTCCTCTCTGCCGCCTGCTCCCAAACCAACCTGTCTGTCCACCCCAGTTAGCACTCCAGCTAGCTGGAGGGGAGGGAAGGAGAGGCTGCATTCATTGCAGCCTTGTACATATAAGCAAGTTTGTGGGCCCACAGCCTTCACCCCACCACCCCCTGCTCTGCCACTGCATCATCTCCAGTCTCTTCTCTCCTCCCTGCACCCATCCCCCAACCACAGAAGCCTAACAGATTCCAAGGGAACAGCTGGAACCTCCTTGCTGCTGGAACTTTTGCTGGTGGGAAGGGGTAGGGCATGCCCTGACCTGGGCATCTCAGGGACACACTGCTCGGGCCTCTGCCTTCTGGGTCTCCTCTTGGTTCCATTTGTCCTGTAGCCTCTCCCTGTACAGGAGGTCAGGAGGAGCAGTCACAAGTCGCCCTGTCTGATGCATTAGGACACAGAAACCCAGGAAGGTTGAATGGCTCACTCAAGTTCACACACAACAGCCCGAGGAGGAAACCACTCAGTCCAACAGGAGCTCGGCCAAGTTGCCAGCTTGCCTTGCCCTCCTCCCTGAGATGGCCAGCATCCTGTATGGATTCAGGGAGAACTCAAACATCAAAACTGGCAGAGGTGGAAGTGGAGAGTGGCAAAGGGGGAAAAAGATGAATCAAGGCACGCAATCCCACTAAAGAAAGAAGGCTTCAATGTACCCGGTGGCCCCCTGCCGGCTCCCAATGCCAGCCACAGCGCCATCCTCCTACTGAATGTTTAATTAAAAGAACAGGACTAATGGGATGGGTGTCAAACTACACACTTAATCTGCACCAGAGACAGCCCCTCTGGGAGCCACTGAAAGAGATCAAAGCTGCTTCTGTGAAGCCCTCATTCTTCAGGGACTTCAGGGGAGTCGGCAGCAGGAAAAAGATTTGGAAAAACCACCAAAAAAATAAAAATAATAATAATAAATGAGGAAAGAGAGGAGAGTTGGGAGTAGGAGGGTGTGAGGAGCGCGGGCCAAGGAAGGCAGCAGGTTCCAGGCCATGCTTAGTCCCCTAGTGTCTCTCCTCACATCCAGCCCCAGTGACAACTGGTGTCCTCAGCTCAGGCCATGGCGGTGAGCCCCTGCCTCCCTGTGCCTGACCCAATTGAAGGTCCTCCTGTGACTTCCCTCTGTCTCTCTTTCCAGTAACTTAGAACCCTCCCTGACCGCTTTCCTTCTTTTGGGTCTCCAAGCCTTGCAAATGCTGCTTCCTTGCCTGGAGCATCCTTAGCTTGGGTTTCTGTCACTTGCATTCAAAAGAGTCTAACATAAGAGAAATGGTCAGATAGGAGGGCAGAATGGATCACTGTTAATTATGAGGACTTTGGAGGCAAACTGCCCAGATTCAAATCCCTGTTCCACCCCTTGCTAGCAGTGTGACCCCAAGCAAGTCATTTAACTTCTCTGTACTTCATCTGTCAAATTCACTCATCACAATACTTAACTCACAGGGCTGCCGTTAATTAGTTAATGTCCACATGTATCTGATTAGAAGAGCACACTGTGTAACACAGCCCATTACGACTGCTCTAATTCCAGCCCACAGGGCCAGCTGGCCGGGGCCCCTTTCCACAGCAGTGGTGAGTCCAGATGGGCCACACCTGCTGCTGCTCCAGGGCTGCATCCCCTTGTGCTGTCCTCCCAAGGCTACATCTGCAAGTGGAGAGGATTTGGCTATCACTCACTGGGGGAGAGATAAGTGTGGAAGCAGGAGGGGGAATTGGGGAAGGAGGGAGGCTGCGTGTGGGACACCTTCGGAAGCCCTTGTCTTCTTCGTAGTCCCCAGGGAAAGGAACGCCTGCCTGCTCTGTAGAGGGCAGGCTGAGCTCTGAGTGTGGGCTTCCTATTCTCACAGCAGCTAGTTTCATACTTAAAAGTCTGAAGCCAGATATATTCTGCCACCAGATTAATTTTTTTCTGAAGCTCCCATTTGGTCTGTTGGAGGAATTCACATTCCTCCGGCTGTCATAACTTTGCTCTGTCTTTCAAGAGCTCACACCCCTGGCCTTGTTTTGCAAATAGAGCATTCTTTCTCTCCTGCCTGTCCTTTACCTTACAAAGCTTCCCCATACTGAACAAAAACATTTTCAACTGCTCTGTAGTGGAAGGTAGGGAGGCCGGGGTGGAAGTAAAGGGTAATTAAATAATTTCTGCTGCAGCACGAAAAGCTGAACAGCATGAAGTATTATTAATACGATGTGCTCTTCCTAATGAATTAACACAGGCAATCCCTCTCTCCTGTCTGGTGTTCAGTAAATATTTGTTGAATGAATGAATAACAGCTTATGATTCTGTCTTTCCTGCTCTGATGAATTATGAAGTCCATGTAGCCAAATCAGCATCAAACCCATTTTATATGCAGTCTGTGTTTTGAGCCCCAGGTCAAAGTGAATAAAATATGTGTGAAAATGAAGTAATAATGTCCATTGGAGACCACTGGCTTCCTGTATTTGTAGGGGATAGGGTCTACCTGGCTTGGTATTGGTGACTTGAGAGTAGCCTTCCAGCTGCTTTTCTCTGGTTCCCAGGTAAACCAGGGTCAGGCTGTCCCTTCTAGGTGGAACTCTGTTGAGACCCCACAGGCAGCTCTGGTGAATGACCAGCATGTGCAAACTCATTGCTCTCCAGCTGACCCCAAAACCATGCAGGAAGAAGGGCAATTCCTGCAGGACTGAGTCTGCCCCCGGCTGAGCCTTGCTTTGCTCATTGCAGATATTTAAGTCTCTCCATAGTGCTGTGACTCACCTGTCTGTCCTTGGTTGGAATTCCACAGGGAAATCACATGCAGAACCTGGTCACTATCTGTACACAAAGCACATGGAGAGATTCTAGGGACAATCATTTCTAAGTAAATTACCTAAGGGCAGAAGAGTCTGCCCGGGAGCTGGGGGAGAATGGAGCAGGGACAGGAGATGGGAATAAGTGACTTGTACATTAATCACAAAGCAATCAGCAGATGACAAGGGGCCTTGGAACCACCACGTCTGTCTAGCTGGACGAGGTGAAAGAAAAGGTCACCCTTGTCTGGGAACTCTCATCCATCTTCAAGACACACACTTACCTGGCTTGCATGTGCCTGAGCTTCCTGTTTTTCCCGCCCAGCAGAGATGCTGCCCTGGCCTGGTTCATTGTCCATTATTTGCCCTCTGGGCCATCCCAGCATCCACCTGGCCTGCCCCACCTGGCCCAGGCCACAGAGGAGGGCATGGCTTTGGCTAGTTGACCTTTAGGAAGTCATTTACTGGGTGTAACCCACCTCAGTTCCTGAGACCTGTAAACTCCTCTTTCTCTGCCCTGAATCTTCCCCAGTTATCAGGGCCCAAGCAGGAGAGTGGGCGTGAACTCTCAGCGCTCTTCCCCTAACTTTTTCCCTTGATCCTCCCCAGCTTCTTCCCTCTCCTGGCAACCCACCCCCTGCCCACTGTCCCCTGAACACAGAGGCTCCTGATGGATGGAGCTGTCTTCTTACTTCCGCTGGCCCTCCCTGGGCTGTACACTAGCCCTTGGATCAAAACCTGTTCCCAAGTTCAGATCAATTTCTTTCTGACATATTTTCACAAAAGTGGGTTTTGTCTCCCAGGTCATTTGAATTTGAACTGGAGCAATGTCCTTGCCCAGGTGTAACCCTTGGCAGTGGATTTTGGCAGTGGTGATGAGTTTGGAGTAGAAAAAAAGAGTCCTGATTAGAATGGCTACTCCATGGCTCAGATCACAGATAGAGCATGAGATTTGGATTTAGGCCTTGGATTTATTTTATTGATTGATTGATTGATTGATTGATTGAGACGGAGTTTCATGCTTTCGCCCAGGCTGGAGTGAAGTGGTGCAATCTTGGCTTACTGCAACCTCCACCACCCCTCCCCCGGCCCTCACCAGGTTCAAGTGATTCTCCTGCCTCAGCCTCCCGAGTAGCTGGGATTATTGGCACCTCCCACCACGCCTGGCTAATTTTTGTATTTTTTTCGTAGAGACGGGGGTTTGGCCATGTTGGCCAGGCTGGTCTCGAACTCCTGACCTCAGGTGATCCACCCACCTCAGCCTCCCAAAGTGCTAGGATTACAGGCGTGAGCTACTGGGCCCGGCCCCTGGCATTAGATTTAAATCCTGGCACAACAACTTCCTAGCTGTATAACCTTGGGTGAGTCATTTAACCTGTCCTAGTTTCTCATCAACAACAAGGATAAACATGTTCACCTCACAGATTTAGCTGAGGAGCGGATTTAATAAAGTATATATTTTTAAATCCTGGTACAAAGTTGTAACCATTCTCCTTACCATGGTAAGGCCAGCACTCCCAACATGGGGGAAGGGGTGAAGGTCAGGGAACTGAACTGCCCTCTGCAGCTGAATAGCACCTAGGCAGGTTATTTTAAAGGCCCTTGGCCCCCAATATCTGTGGCACCTGTGTACTCCACCCTCCGGATTTCCACCATTGCAGGAATTCCTCTGGGTAAGCATTATAGTCTCCCTAGGGTCTCCTTTTGAAAGGTGAAAATTCTCATGAAAGTTACTAATGCTGTAATGTGAAAAGTGTAATTAAAAGATTTTATTTATTTTTGTGAGAATACAAGGTGCCCTAGAGCCCAGAAACCAGGAGGAAGCAAGGATTGTCCCAACTATGAGAGGTGAATTCAGGCCCTGAGCCAGGCACTCTCTTATCCATGATCTCATTCTGCCTCATAACAACCTTCAGGGGAGTTATTGTTAAAGAAATGTTTAAAGGTAAAAATCAAGGCCCTTGTATAAATACAACCTCTTACAAACATGAAATTCAGACATGCCAATGATTTAACTCGTCGATTAATAAGGGAACTAGTAAGATGTTACGACCGCTCAAAAAAGAATCCAAAGAGCAGATGCATACAGAAGCCATCGGGAATGCTGACATTAATTTGCTTAACAAATATAAAACTGGTCAATATCCATAGGGCAATAATCAGTTGCATTTCCAATGGATATAATTTGCATTTCTATGGACAAAATCATTTGCATTGTTATCAGTTTTCTACAATTTTCAGAGTCATAAAATAGCTCAAAGACAATGAAAGAAAGGCAGGGGTAACCCATAGGCAAACAGACAGAATGCCCAATAACAACCTTCTTTTGCCATTTCAAAGTCTTGCACAACTTTTTCTAACATTATGACTATCCTCATTTCATCACAAAGCAGAAAGCATGGAGACAGGCACAGAAAGTAGAAATGAAAAGTGGAAATCTAGTCCAGAGGCACCCAAGTGCCAGTCCCATCTGAGGGCCGGGGAGTGTGTAACAAGGATGTCACATGGGGGATGAAATTAGAAAAATAAGAATGAGGTCAGTTTTTTGACGAAGCTAAATGATTTCCTTCAAAAGACTGTCCATTATTGGAGATTATATTCTTCCTACATTTGTGGCATTAAAATGTCTTTTCCATCTGGGCATGGTGGCTCACGCCTGTAATCCCAGCACTTTGGGAGGCCGAGGTGGGCAGATCACCTGAGGTCAGGAATTTGAGACCGGCCTGGCTAACATGGCAAAACCCTGTCTCTACTAAAAATACAAAAATTAGTGAGGTGTGGTGGCACATGCCTGTAATCCCAGCTACTCGGGAGGTTGAGGCACAAGAATCACTTGAACCCTAGAGGCAGAGGTTGCAGTGAGCCGAGATCGCACCACTGCATTCCAGTCTGGACGACAAAGTGAGACTCCATCTCAAAAAAAAAAAAAAAAAAAAAAAAAAGGACAATGCCTGAGCAACATTACCTGGGTCCCCTAGCCCAGCAGGGTTCTCCTTGTCTCAGCCAAAGATGGGAAGCTGACTTGGTTAGGCTGGGCATCCAGACACCGAGGCTGAATAGAAAAGAGATAAGAAAATTACAACTTACAGACTGACCCTGGGGATGCCAGAGGGTGGTCCAGATGGAGTAAACCCCAAAAATGACCTTCTCTGGTGTTAGCCTCCACATGCATTCTGTCTATTGTGCTGCATGGCTTGTGCTATGGTCTGAACACTGGTGTCTCCCCAAAATTCATATGTTGAAACTTAATTCCCGAGGTGATAGTATTAAGAGGTGGGGACTCTGGGAGATGATGAGATCATGAAAGCAGAGCCCTCATGAATGGGACAAGTGCCTTTATAAAAGAGGCTAGAGGAAAGCTGTTTGCCCTTCTGCCACGTGAGGACACATAGAGAGCACCACCCATAAAGAATGGGCTCTCACCAGACACCGAATCTGCCAGCACCTTGATCTTGGACTTCCCAGCCTCTAGAATTGTGAGCAATAAACAACTCATAAAGATATTTATGAGGCCAGGCACGGTGACTCATGCCTGTAATCCCAGCACTTTGGGAGGCCAAGGCAGGTGGATCACTTGAGGTCAGGAGTTTGAGAACAGACTGGCCAACATGGTGAAGCCCCATCTCTACTAAAAATACAAAAATTAGCTGAGTGTGGTGGTGCACACCTGTAATCCCAGTTACTAGGGAGGCTGAAGCACGAGAATTGCTTGAGCCCGGGAAGTGGATGTTGCAATGAGTGGAGATTGTGCTACTGTACTCCAGCATGGGCAACAGAGTGAGACCCTGTCTCAAAAAAAGAAAAGAAAAAAAGATGTTTATGAGTTACCCAGGCTAAGATATTTTTTATGGCAGTGCAAGGGGTCTAAGGCACTTGTCAGTAGGCTTTACCTACACTGTCCTCCCCGCCTATAACGAAGATCCGATCCTGAAGCTCAATAAAAACCTGGCCTAAGCTGGCATGCAGACCAAGAAAGACAGGAACAGGGCTTGGCACCATCTCCCTTCCTGAGAGTCTGCTCCAGCACCCAGGGTGCAGGGTTGTAAGCAAAGCCAGAAACGAGAGGGATTACAGACTTCACAAGCCAATGACTAACTAGTATCTGGTGAATTGAAGCAGAGATTTCCTAGCATGTGACAATATTAACATTTGCAGCCTGGGTTTTCAACTCGTCCACATCAGGGGTCTGGTTGGCAAAGCCCTGCCACCTCCCCCTCATTTGACTATCTGCTGCTAAAAGTCAGAAATGATCAAAGGCCCTGCTTTTAAAGGCATAGTGGGGCTCCACCAGACAGCGAGAAGCCCAGGCAGGCCCCACCTGGAAAGAACAGAGAACGCACACACACTGGAGTTTGGGGTTTCATTCTAAACAAGTGGGGCATCCCGTCATCACTCCACAGGGGAAGGAGGGTAGCGTCCAGTGGAGGATCTGCAGGCACCAGCATGTTAAGCACTGCTACCTTGTAGAACCTACTTTCTGCTGGGTTAACAGGAGAGGAAACAAGCATGGGGGAGGATACAGCTCCTGGTGGTTTTTAAAGAAGAGTGCGTTTAAACTCAGAGTGTGCCTGAACAGCTGGGCTGGAAAATTGCTTGTTTAGCTCTGCAGTTTGTGTCAGGGACTCACTGGCTGAGAGAGAATAAAAGCAGCTTGATTTTGCAAACTGTCAGTATTATGAACCAAGGCAAAGACCTCTAGGGAGCAGGGACTCACGCGACTTCTTTTCCTCATTCCTACACAGCAGAGGGAATGACAGGACCAAGCTCAAGAACAATTGCCCAGGGGTCTGAGCTGTTAGCACTACAGGCATTGATTAGTGTCTACGGTTTTCATGTTCCCGGCTCTGCCTTCAAGGAATCACAGCCCCAGAATTCCTGAATCTCAGATCCAGAAGGGACCGGAGATGGCACAGGAATCCCTGCTTTAGCTCCTGTGACAGCTCCTGGCCTGTGCGGAGCCCGGTGCCCCAGGGAATGCTTACTACTCCTCTGCCCAGCCTGCTCACTGTTTGCCAGCATAGACTGGTGGTAAATTCCATCTTGTGTGAGCTGAAACCTGTCTCCCTTTCATCAACCAGCAGAGTGGGCATGTACCACAGCACCTTAGATGAGAATGGCCCCTCAGAGATCCCATGAGTCGGACTACCCAAATTCACCTGCAAGCATTTTTCTCTGGGTCTACCTAGTGTTTCAAAACTTTTCTTTTGATCCAATATTGACAACAGAGAGATTTCCTAGAAAAATCTAGCCTTGTGGATTTTCTTGGTATATTGGAAAGGCTGGCAACCACGACCCACACTACCATCTGAAAAGACCTGGCCGGAGTTGGGTGTTGGTTATCCCATTGTTATGGGCATGGATCTCCAGTTTACTCTCACCTCCTGCACTCCCTACTGTCCCCATTCCAGCAGCTCTCCTCTGAGATCGCACTGGTCTCTGTAGCTTATGAGTTTGTGAGACCAGACCTTGTTCATCCTCCAAGTTTTACCAGTTGCCATGTGCCAGGATCCTCCTTGGCCTATGGTTCATTCCCTTCCTTTATAATTTAACCTCTTCCCTTCCAGAGCCACACTCACCCCAAGGGATTTCCTTCCTCTTGTCCTGCTCCTATTTCCATCTTGTGGCCTTTATTGATATAAAAATAACCAAACTAACAAAGCAACTTTGTTAACTACTCCTTTCCTTGTGCCCATGCATTTAAATCAGTAGTGTTCAGCCGGGCATGGTGGCTCACACCTGTAATCCCAGCACTCTGGGAGGCTGAGGTAGGTGGATGGCTTGAGCCCAGGAGTTCGAGACCAACCTGGGCAACATAGGGACATGGTGGCGCATAGCTATAGTCCCAGCTAACCGGGAGGCTGAGGTGGGAGGATTGCTTGAACCTGGGAGGTCGAGGCTGCAGTGAGCCTAGATTGTGCCACTGCACTCCAGCCTGGTGACAGAGTGAGACCCTGTGTAAAAAAAAAAAAAAAAAAAAAAATCAGTAGTGCTCCACCAGCAACAGGACCATCTATAGTCTACGTTTAAGGACTTTTGGAAATTTTTTGTATTATAATGACTGGGGCAATTAGTGCTTGGGGTCCAAAAATGCTAAATATCATGCTATGCTAGGAGTAGTCCCATTAAAAAACAAACCAAAACCTTATTCCATTCAAAATGCCGCTAACCCTCATGGGAAAATATTGATTTAAACAGAATGCTAGCTAATTTTGTCCTACATCATTTTTCTCTATGCCTGTGTAAAATGAGAATAATGTATTTCATTCTTATACCAATTCATTTCTTTCACAGAGTTGTTGTGAGGATTGTGTGAGATTTAAAGAACAGATACTTGACACATACTAAGCAAACAACAAATGCTAGCAACGATGGCTGATTCAGAAATGGAATGGTGAGACAGGAACTGGTGTGCCTGCCCACAGACCTGAATTCTAGTTCGAGCTGGAAGAGCTAGTCTGCCATTCACAAACCACATGACCCTGGTCATGTTTCTCCCCTCTGAACAATGAAAGGTTGTACTAGATTTCCGGAGTCCTGGTCATCCCGAATATTCCATGGTTCTGTGTTCCTAATAAGACAAACAGCATACCCTTTTTTTTTGAGACACGGTCTCACTCTGTCACCCAGGCTGGAGTTCAGTGCTGTGATCTTGGCTCACTGCAACCTCTGTCTCCTGGTTTCAAGCGACTCTCCTGCCTCAGCCTCTCGAGTAGCTGGGACTATAGGCACACACCACCACACTTGGCTAGTTTTTTGTATTTTTAGTACAAATCCATGTTGGCCGGTCTGATCTCAGACTCCTGACCTCAGGTGATCCGCCTGCCTCAGCCTCCCAAAGTGCTGGAATTACAGGCGTGAGCCACTGTGCCTGGCCAATACCCTTTTTCTAGTCAATATTCTTGTTGGCTTTTCTTGTCTCGGCCAGCACTCCCAGGTGCAATGGTGAAAGCTAGCCCGAGGCTGTATTTCCTTCCCCAGCAAATTAAAGAACAAAGACAAAGAACAAACCCTATGTGTATACAGGACACAGATACACATTGGTTATCATTGAGTCCCTGAAGTCTGTAATGTTTTCAGGGAGGTGGTGGTGGGTAGCCTCAACTTCTAGTCGTTTCCCTTCCTTAGATGGGGAAAGAGTTTTCTCCTGGAATACAGCCTTTTGTGATAGGTACCTGTTGACCACTAGGCTCTCATCACAGAGGGATTCAGGGAAACAGCTTCTGAGGCTCTACCGAGGCTCAGAAATAGATCCCTCCCCCTACTGCCTGCTGGAAGGAAGGCTGGCCCGATAGGCTAGGAGGCGGGAGGTTGTACATCAAAGGGAAAAAAAACAGCAGTTCAGTTCATTTGAATAAACCAGGAAGAAGGGAACTGCAATAGGTTATTACTGAGAGAATAATTTGTAAAACTAGGTTACAGATAGTCTCGAGGAGATGGAGACTGAATGGTAAAAATGGACAAAATACAAAATGGAAATAGAGCTCTCTTGGTGGCTGGTGGGGAGTTGGAGCACCATTTACCCTACACTTCTACTCCATATTTTCCTTCTGGGTGTGAGAGGTATTTTTCAAATGATTTCTTAAAACACCAGGGGTAAGAATATTTCAATAGACTTAAGGGAGTTATACTCAAGCAGATTCAACGATGTTAAGGGCAAGAGGGACCGCCCGCCCCCTTAGATTTTTATAGGTTACTGGTGCCCTCTGGTGGGAGATAAAGGTTACGTCTGTGGGGTATAGGCCCGAGATTTGATTGGTCATTCGTGTTCAGATGCTGCAATCCTCCAGCTTGATGTGCCAGCAAGAAGAGGCAGTATCAGGTGATAAGCACCTCACAGGCGTTATCTCACTGGTCCATCAGCCTGTTTCACAGATTAGGAAGCTGAGGCTTAGAGACACGAGGTGAACTACCTAAGGTCACCCAGCAGGCAGCTAACTGGCAATCCTAATTCATTGCCAAGAATTCCAGGAATGCTGATGGTCAGGTTTTCAAACATAGACAAACTGTCATGCACACTCACACTCACACAAAAAGAAAAGACAAAGAAGAAAGTAGATGCAATTTTCTCCAAAATGTATCCCCTACGAAGGTAGCAGCTTTACCCAGTTTTGAGCATTGTACTTTGCTGGAGTTTAAGATTTCCCAGTTTAGGGCACTGGAAAGTTCGAGTCTCTTTACCTTGAATCAAAAGCATAGCTTATTTCCCACTAGTGATTCTCTTAGAGGTTAATGATGAAGGGGAACAAGCCCTAGACTGAGAGGGGGCAAGAGCTGGTTACCAGACCAAAGGTGTGAATTGGCCATGTGATACTTGATATCACATCTGTTGTTGTAAAGTAAGGGTGTTCAAGAAAGTGATCCTTAAGGCTATAAAAGATATTTTTTTGCACCCCTTGCCCTAAACTTAAAATAAGTGCTCACTCACCTCTCCCTTCTTTTCTCCACTCTTGCAAGGTTTTCCGTGTATGTATGTGTCAGAAATATTGGAGTATCTGCCTAAGCCTAGTAAAACAAAACAAAAATCCATTCTCATCCCCATGATGCTTTCATAATCTTGTCCTTAACCATTTCCCACTGTTCCTCTTCCTCTCCCCAAACCTTTCCCCCTTAGCCTTAGACTTCAGCAGTGGTTCTCAGAATGTGGTTTCTAGGCCGGAAACATCAGCATCACCTGGGAACTTGATAGAAATGCAAATGCTTGGACCGCATGCAGACCTACGTTACTGAAACCTCTGGGTGAGGCCCAACAACCTGTCAAACACCGTCAGACCTGTCAAACTGTTTGCTCAAGTTTGAGAGCCACTGTTCCAGATCAGGGTTCTTAATCTAGGGTCCACAGATGGTTCTAGGAAGTCTAAATGTTTTTTGAATTTGCATATAACATTTTGCACAAGTACATGCCCTTTTTCTGGAGACAAGTTCTCAAAGCAGTCAACTCTTGACTCCAACTACACTATCATTCTGTTTCTTTCTTTCTTTTTTTTTTTCTTTTTGAGACAGTTTTGCTCTTGTCGCCCAGGCTGGAGTGCAATGTCTTGATTTCCACTCACTGCAACCTCCGCCTCCTGGGTTCAAGCGATTCTCCAGTCTCAGCCTCCTGAGTAGCTGGGATTACAGGTGCCCACCACCACGCCCAGCTAATTTTTGTATTCTTAGTAGAGATGGGTTTCACCATGTTGGCCAGGCTGGTCTCAAACTCCTGACCTCAGGTGATCCGCCCACCTCCGGCCTCCCAAAGTGCTGGGATTACAGGTGTGAGCCACCGCACCCGGCCTATCACTCTGTTTCATAAACAACTTCCTGCCTACATCTGCAAACTCTTCTTTCCTCCTCTTCTTTGCCTTAAAAGATACCTGGCTTTCCCTCCAAAGGATCTTGGTGGTCACTTTCCCATACCTCATGTGCTTTCAGGATAGGGTATGGGGCCTCCCCAGTACTGCACTCAGACCCCTATTCTTCCACACTTCCAAATCTCTGCATATATATATATACACATATATATATATACACACACACACACATATATATACACACACATATATATATACACATATATATACCAAATCTCTGCATATATATACACACACATACACACACACACACACACACATATACATATATATATTTAGATCTATACTCCCCTTTACTCCTCCTTTACTGCTGTCATCTGCTGACTTTGCTCACACTTTCCCTTGTTCATTACAGACTTTGGGTTCCTACCTCCTACCAGCTTCCTGGATGATAACAACATCACATGAATGACCCATCTAACACCACGGCCTCGTGGGACCTTAACCACTTCATGTCAAAGAATTTCACCTTCACATACTCCAGCCACTCACTCTGTTAGGCCCTGGGAGCTTGCCCTCATCTGGGATGCTCCACCGTATGCCAGTCAGCTTATGCCAAATTACACTGTGGTAACAAACCCCCAAATCTCAATCGCTTGAATTAACAAAAGCTTGTTCCTTTGTCCCTCGCAGGATAGGTACAGCTATGGTCCCTGTTCTCTTCAGTCTTGGAGACAGGTCAAAGGGAGCAGCCCCCATTTTGGGACACACTAGCCTCACGTGGAGGAAAAAGAGCACTGACTTACCCACACAATGGTCCCTAAGCCTCTGCTCAGAATAGCACAGTTCATTTCCACTTGCATCCCATTGGCCAGCCCGCTGCCAGTGGTGCAGGAAGTGCAATCTTTTCCAAGGCCTGGTAGAGAAAAGCTGCGCAGGTTTTGACAGTAATACATCTACCACAGCCTTTGAAGTCCTATTAGATCTTTCTTCCTCTCTCTCTCTCTCAACATAGCGACCTGTCTTTTCAGCTCCTGGTCCTCTCCTCCTACTGTACTATTCTTCAGTTTCAATCAGCCCCCTCCTGGAAATGACAATAGATAACATTTACTGAACACTTAGTAGGTTCTATCTTGACATCTATTATCTCGTGAGTCATTGAGAGCTTAGAGAAGTTAGCCTGTCTTCACCTCATTCTGTCTTCTAGGTTAGAACCATTACTTCGCCTATGAGGAAAACAGAAGAACCAGATAGAACTGAGAGGCCAGGTCAGGGCCATAAATGTGTGACACCAATCTGCAGGTTGTGTGATGTTTCTCCTGTAGTACGCATTGGCTGGCCTCAGTGGTCCTCAACCAGAGGCCATTCTCCCACTTAAGTAATATTTACCAATGTCTGCGGACATTTTTTATTGTCATAATTAGGGGAGTGCTACTGGCATCTAGGGAGCAGAGGCCAAGAATGCTGCTAAACATCTTAGAACACACAGGACAGCCCCCATCACAGAATTCTTCAATCCAAAATGTCAACAGTCCTGAGGCTGAAAAGCCCTGGTCTGCAAATTGGACAGTCTCAGGCAATTGCCTTGTGGAAATTTTCCTACTCTGTTCTCTCCCCTATTCTCCAGAATACCTGTTCCAGACCTGCTCCACTCTCTTCAAACTCTTATCCCAACCACCATCTCTGCTGTATGGCTGGAGGCTCTGGGAGGCCGGTGGAAGGCGCAGCAGGGCAGACCGGCGGTGCTTGGGCGTAGAAGGGGAGAGCAGTCCGACCGCAGGCGAGCAGCTCAGGGGTCCCCAGTCCGAGCCCCACGACCCTGGGGTGGCAGTGACGCCTGGAGTCGGGCGGGCGTGGCTGGGCCGGGCTCTTGAAGAGGCAGCCAGGCACCACCATTAGTGTCTACGGCCATACCACCCTGAACACGCCAGATCTCGGAAACTAAGCAGGGTCGGGCCTGGTTAGTACTTGGATGGGAGACCGCCTGGGAATACCTGGTGCTGTAGGCTTTTTGGCTCCCTCCCTCCTTTTGTCTCCGAGCTTCCCAACTGCCCCCTGACTCTGCTCCCCCTTTTCCGCCCGCCTGTGTACCCCGCGGTAGCCCAGGACCTCCTCGTGGAGGTCTGCCGCCGCAGCACCGCCAGGCAGCAGCATCCCACCTCTTCCGCCTCACTGCAGCCCCACCAGGAGCTGGCTTCAGCCCTGGCGGGGCAGACCTGGACCTGACCCCGAAAGCGCAGGCGCGGGTTCCCTGCCATCAGGGTGTCTTCCCGTTCCCAGGATGCCCAGGCAATTCAATTCACTCATCTCTCTCTGTCCATGCTTTCAGCGACACTAAACTTTCTAGTTCTTCCCAGATGCCACTGTTTTCTCACCTCAAGACCTTGGCATGTTTCCTCCTAACTACGGCACTTTTCCCTTCCTCTCCTAACTCCTAACCTTCCTTTAATCTCAGCTCATCTCTTCCCGGAGGTTGTTCAGAAGCTCTTGGCTACATTACGTCCCCCTTCTGTATTTCTCATAGCAGCATGTAGTCTCACAACAAAACATTCACTATGCTAATATTTACATGCTTAACCAGTTTCCCTAGACAGGAGAACAGGAACCATGTTCATCTTCATCACGGTATCCCCCAGTGCCTAGACAATACGAAATACATGATACGTACTTAATATTTACAGCTCAGGTGTCTCCTAAGCTCCACTTCCATTTGGATGTTCTCATATGCACAAACTCAACACAACCAAAACTAAACTCATCATTTTTTCCTATCTCACCACCATCATCAAAAACCTACTCTTCTATTGTCTTTTTTTTTTTTTTTCCCTTGGTCTGTCACCCAGGCTGGAGTGCAGTGGTATGATCTCGGCTCACTGCAACCTCCGCCTCCCTGAGTTCAAGCGAGTCTCCTGCCTCAGTCTCCCGAGTAGCTGGAACTACAGGCTCGCACCACCACACCCGGCTAATTTTTGTATTTTTAGTAGAGACAGGGTTTCACCATGTTGGCCAGACTGGTCTCGAACTCCTGACCTCAGGTGATCTGCTCACCTCAGCCTCCCAAAGTGCTGGGATTACAGGTGTGAGCCACCACACCCGGTCCTATATTCTTTATCTCAACGAATGGCACCACCATCTACCAGTTACCCAGTCATCCTTGACTCCCTGCTTCCCTCAAACCACATTTATTCATCTTTTTTTTTCTAAAAACGATGGTCACTTTAAACATACATTGTTTAAAGTGCACGCATTGTCATGAAGTCTGTCTCTTCTACCTTGATTTCTCTCAAATCCTTGCACTTCTTTTGGGCTTTTGTCTCAAACATACTGGGTTTAACCACTGACTATCTGCAATTCTGAATTGCCTTTGACAGGCTATTTAACATCTCTGAGCCTTAAATGCCTCATGGAATAACAGATGTCAAGTCAGCACCTACTAAGTGTTCTATTACAATAATGCATCTATTACTATTCTTGCCCAGCCCACTGCCATGACTTTAGGAGTATCAATGCAGCCCAGATTACTGCCATGGCCTCACTGTTATCCCTGCTCTAAACAGCACTCCAGTCTACTCTCACCAATGCAGCCAGAAGGATCTTTCAAAAATGCCAATGAGATGATGTCACTCTCCTGCTTAAGACCTTTGTAGCTCTCCACTACCTTCAGGATAACATTCAAACCTACTAGGTTAGCATATCACACTTTCAACACCCAGGCCCCTTCCCACTCCAGCACCATCTCTCATCACTTTTCCAAGCACATCATTTGCTCCAGGCACAACAAACACTTAAGAGTTCCCCCCAAAAGCCATTCTCTCTCCTTTAGTTCTTTCAGCTACTGTTTCCTTGGCTCATGTGGAAACCGTCTTAAGTATCTAACTCCATTGTCTGGCCATAGGCAACTTGAGAGCAGCTTCCTTACTGTTGTATTCTCAGTATCAACCAGTCTCTGGCTCATATTAACATTTAATAAGTATTTATTTGTTAAAGCAAACCAAATATGGCCTGAGAAGGACTCCATACTTACATATTTGAGTCCCTGTGGATGAACTGTAACCTAGCTTAATAGGCAGACAAGATTGAAAACCTAATTTACGAGTATGTGCCTGTAACAATAGCTGAGTCTTGGCCAATCCCAGCAGCCATACTTCAACCACTCATACACTGCTGAGTGTTCAAACTGTGTTCAAATAAGGCAAACGCCCACCTGTAACCAATCCAGCCAGCTGTTTCTGTACTTCACTGCCTATTTATTTACGTCACTTCCCTCTTTTTGTCTATAAATTTGTTCTGACCATGAGGCATCCCTGGAGTCTCTCTGAATCTGCTGTGATTCTGGAGACTGCCCAATTCGTGAATCGTTCATTGCTCTATTAAACTCCTCTAAATTTAATTCGGCTGAAGTTTTTAACAAATTGATTGAATGTAATCCTTTATTTTAAAGAGGATTAATCAAATAAATTCAGGGCTGGGGATGTACATCACAAGGTTAACCCTGTATGCCCAAACCTATAATGACTTGAATTTTTCCTAATAGCAATAACTCTTTTCATACCTTTATATGATGGACTTGTGTAACTCCACCAAAAACAAACAAAAAACCCCCAAACCCTCAAAACAAACAGTGATGTGAAATTTACCTACTAACAATTGTGCCAGGCAAAAGCAACATTTTGGGAGGCTGAGCTAGGAGGATCGCTTGAGCCCAGGAGTTCTAGACAAACATGAGCAACACAGTAAGACCACACCTCCTCACAAAAAAAATATTTTAAATTAGCCAGGTGTAGTGGCATGAGCTTGTGGTCCCAACTACTCAGGAGGCTGAGGAGGACGATCACTTGAGCCTTAAAGGCTGAGGCTGTGGTGAGTTGTGATTGCATCACTGCACTCCAGCCTGGGGGGACAAAGCGAGACCCTATTTCCAAAAAAAACTGCAATACTCTGTAAGCTTAGTTACCAGTTTCAGCTTGCCTTCTTCTTCTAGTATCAAGAATACATTCAACAAAAATGATACATCTACAGCACCAGGAACTCAAGGTGAGCAGGATGGAAAACCCCAGGAAACACGTTATGCCATTGAAATTGCATTAGAGTACCTTATACAGGTCACATACAAAATGTGAAAGGCTTAAGTAGACAAAGAAGCTGGCCCCATTTTTGTTTCTAATGCTCCTTGTTTTGTTTTCATTTAAAAAGTGTTACCCTGGGTGCCCAGTATGGTGGCTCCTGCCTGTAAACCCAGCACTTTGGGAGGCTGAGGTGGGTGATTACTTGGGCCCAGGAGTTCAAGACCAGCCTGGGCAACATGGCAAAACGCCATCTCTTCAAAAACACAAAAAATTCAGCCAGACGTGGTGTACATGCCTGTGGTCTCAGCTACTCGGGGGGCTGAGATGGCTGGATCGCTTCAGCCAGGAGGTCAAGGCTGCCGTGAACCTCTCGCCACTGCACTTCAGCCTGGGTGACAGAACAAGACCCTGTATCAAAAAAAAAAGTTACGATGGTATGTCCATTATCACCCCACCCCACCCCCAAGGCCTCCTCAGATATATATTACACATCTCTAAAGGATCATTTATATGGCAGCCTATGAACAGTGCCCCAAGAGTTATACAGTTCACAGCAATCTGCACCAACTATATGGTAATCCTGCCCCTACCCAAGCTCAGGACAACTAGCCAGATGTTTCACTCACCTTAATGGCTTTAGCTGTAAGTGCATGACCTTTTGAAAAGCGTATGTGCTACCAGGCTCTTTGTGGGCCATTCACTCTTCTTTGGCATCCTGCCAAAGAACAGAACCTGAGGGTCATGGATCAGTGGTTTCAATGAAGCCCTGAAATTGATGTTTAATATTGTGCTACTTATAAGAAGAGGTTTCATGAGGTTCATTAGCTTTTCAAGGAGGACTATAATCCCCAAAGTTTAAGAACCGCCATTAGAGACCCTAGCAGATGCTAGGCATACCAACTGATTAATGCATATGGTGTGACAAACCCTCAGTACCTCTCGTACTAGCCCCAATTCAAAACCACAACGAGCTCAATGTTAGAAAATACTCTGTAAAATTTGATGGATTTCTTCAGGATTGGGACCCTGAAAATAAAATATAGCAATTGCTCTAAAAGGTAACTGGGGGAAAATATCCAATGCTGCTGATTTTAAGTCCATTAATTTCCCCAAAGAAGTAACAGAAGTAATTTTCTGTTGTATCTTTGGTCTATCAGACCAAAAGATCCAATAGCAATGAGATTTAACTGTATACACACAAAATTACCTATTTCAAAAATAATGACAACACACAATGGCAAAAGGAAAAACATTTAATACATAAAAAAGCACAATTAAAAAGTATTAAAAGCATTACATAGTGCAAACACCAAAAAGACAGAGCTATTAACTTAGTGGTGCTTATAAGGAAAACTAGGCAAGAATGCAGAAAATGCCTTCCTCTTTCCTCATCTAGTGAGCTGGCCACATTCAATAAGTTGTTGTTATTATTATTATTATTATTATTATTAGCGAAAGACTGAAGTTTTATTATTACTCAATTCAGTCTCCCAAAAAGTTATTTTAAATTGCTGCTTTCTTCCCACTTGATGAAACCACATTTGCTGCTCTTGTGATTCTCTGATCGGAAATATTTGGAAAATTTCATGTTTTCTATATATTGACAGTGCATTTTATGCCACCTACTCAAGTGTATGTAGAAAGAGATGTTTTGGGCCAGGAGCAGTTGCTCACGCCTGTAATCCCAGTACTTTGGGAGGCCAAGGCGGGCAGATCGCCTGAGGTCAGGAGTTCAAGACCAGCCTGGCCAACATGGTGAAACCCTGTCTCTACTAAAAATACAAAATTAGCCAGGTGTGGTGGTGCACGCCTGTAGTCCCAGCTACTTGAGAGGTTGAGGCAGGAGGATCGCTTGAACCCAGGAGGCGGGGGTTGCAGTGAACCAAGATTGCGCCACTGCATTCCAGCCTGGGTGACAGAGTAAGACTCTGTCTCAAAAAAAAAATTTTTTTTTGTACATCAAGACCACAGCAAGGTGGTTTTATCAGGATAGAATGTACTATCCAAATTTACAAACTTCTCTCAGAACACCTAGAGAAAGAACTCTTTTCTGGTCAAGAGCCTCATATCAAAGAAAGAATACCTAAACTAGAAGCATGGGTAAAAGGGCCTGCAGTAATCAAACAGGCTCTGCCAGGCAGGCAATAAAGGGGAGCTAGTGCTCAGCTTCCAGAACATGAGGTATTCTGAATATATACCCCAGAGCTTGGTACACCAAGAGCATAATAGGTTCTTAGATCTCTTCAAGGAAATTTATAGGCTTCAGAATTGCTCTCCCGGATTTAATCCCTACAACAAATGATGAGGTAGAAAAGGGTAGGTATGTATACTGCTTTTTATATATGAGAAAAACTGAGGCATACGGACGTCAAGACTGGCACTCAATACTTAACTCTACCTCTACCCAAGAGGCACTTAATAGTGCATAGCTAGAGACTAAAGAAAGTCATATTCAAGGTTGCTATGAGGTCTACCTTGCCAAGTGCTGAGGAAGCCAAGAAGCATTTCATCCCTCCTTTGAAACATTTCCTGTTGATTTTAAAAGGGGGAAAAAAAAACCCAAAAGAAACACTTCGATTCTCATTGAAAAGAAAGTGAAAAAATGAGGCAAACTACAGAGAAAAAAATAATTCTGTAAGAAGGAAGCCTGACCTCAATTTCTTTGAGACAGCGTCTCTGTCACCCACCTTGGATTGCAGTGGTGCCATCTCAGCTCACTGCAACCTCCACCTCCCAGGCTCAAGCGATCCTCCCACCTCAGCCTCCTCAGTAGCTGGGACAAGCATGCACCCACCATGCCCAGCTTTTTTTTTGTATTTTTGGTAGAGACAGGGTTTCACCATGTTGCCCAGGCTGGTCTCGAGCTCCAGAGCGCAAGCAATCTGCCCACTTTGGCCACCCCAGTGCTGGAATAACAGGAGTGAACCACCGCGCCTGGCCTGACCTCAATTTCTTAGTGCTGAGACAACAGGGGAGCTAACTCCCTATCCCCCATCACACACAGAAAGGAAGCCTCAACTACGAGTTGTTACTTTATTAGATAGTAGCTCTGCCATCACAGCTTCCCATCTACCGCCTAACTCTGCAACAGAAACATTTCCCAGGACTGACTGGAAAGAGGAATCTTATCTAAAGATACTGTAGTTACAAGGGCTGATAAGGGTCTTTGGTATAAAAGCAATATCCAGAAATAAGATAATTAACTTTGGAACTAAGGGGATATAAATGACACAGTAAAGGTGGAAGGGTTTTTTTTTCTTAAGGGAGACCAGAGTTTTATTATTACTCAAATCAGTCTCCCAAAAAGTTACTTTAAAATGCTGTTTTCTTCCCACTTTATGAAACCACATTTGCTACTGTTGACAGGGGACTATCTGATCAGAAATATTTGTCTGTTGACATCAGTACTTAACTGTTTAAAAAAAAAAACAGTGCCTTCAGATAAGAAATTAGGGGCTCTAATAAGATGTTATAATGATAAATGTCCTTTTTTTTGAGACAGAGTCTCTGTCACCCAGGTGGGAGCGCAGTGGTGCAGTCTCGGCTCACTGCAACCTCCACCTCCCAGGTTCAAGCGATTCTCCTGTCTCAACCTGCCAAGTAGCTGGGACTACAGGTGCACGCCACCACGACCGGCTAATTTTTGTATTTTTAGTAGAGACAGGGTTTCACCATACTGGTCAGACTGGTCTCGAACTCCTGAGCTCAGGCAATCCACCCACCTCGGCCTCCCAAAGTGCTGGGATTACAGGCGTAAGCCACCGCCCCTAGCCTAATATCAATCTTCGATAAAGCATTTGCCAAATTACAGCAACTGCTCTGAAAGAGGAATTGCTCTTCTAGCATTATTTGACCCTTTTTAGGTATCCTTGACCCTCTTTACCTTAAGAAATGGAGAGTTCCGGCCGGGCGCGGTGGCTCACGCCTGTAATCCCAGTACTTTGGGAGGCTGAGGTGGGCAGATCACGAGGTCAGGAGATCAAGACCATCCTGGCTAAGACGGTGAAACCCCGTCTCCAATAAAAATACAAAAATTAGCCAGGCGTGGTGGCGGGCGCCTATAGTCCCAGCTACTAGGGAGGCTGAGGCAGGAGAATGGGGTGAACCCGGGAGGCGGAGGTTGCAGTGAGCCGAGATCGCGCCACTGCACTCCAGCCGGGGCGACAGAGAGAGACTCCGTCTAAAAAAAAAAAAAAAGAAATGGAGAGTTCTACTAACTGTCCTGTGCTCCCAGAGGGGATTCAATGAGGATCGTAAGAAGGAAAACAACCTGCAGGGGAAGCAGCATCTTGGATTTCAGATAAAGTACCAAAAAATATTAGCTATCTCTTTCTGCAGACATGCCTCTTTCTCTGTTAACACTTTCAGTCATTCAAAAGGCTATTGGTAGAGGTGCAGCAAATCCAAGTGTAGATTTACTGTAACAGTTTATTTAACTATGCTGTATTCACCAATAACGGCATTACCAATAATGGCATTAGTGCACATCAAAAGATCTGAAAATGCTAATGGGACATTTCCCACAAAAGGAAAGAAATCCAATGGCTCCTATAAAGGGAGAATATAGCAATGGCAAGCAGAATGAAAATTTCTGTCAAAAGAAAGTACTTCTCAAAGCAATCAGGAAAAACTGTTCCCAAATTAGGCCTGGGGAGCCACATTAGCCACTATCTCAGATACTGATTATTTTGTTTAGCCTTAGGGGCCTCAATATTCCCCCTCATCTGCTAAACTTCAACTTGTTTACTCACAAGTCTGATAAATTCCAGCCAAGTAACCTTAACATTCCCTATGGCAGTGCAAAATTCCAGACATTTGTAAACACTGTAAATTTCACGTTTGGTACATGAGACAGCTTACCGGTTCATCTTTGATTCTAAAAACATAGCTAGTTCCTAATCTATGGCCATTTTTAGCAAAGGTAGCATCAGGATCAAAACATGCTTGCACACATGCACACTCATGACTGGGAGAACCATCAGAACTAATTGCTCGTTAGGATATAGTTCTGAACAATTTAAGCAGATAACTGACTAAATGGAAAACAGATTCACAGTATCTAAAGCCATATATCAGAAATTCACATAATTCTGAGGGGAAAAAACTCAAATATCTAGTTAACAATTGTCTTCCTTTCAAAAGCGAGTCAAGAGGTAACATTACATAGCTTTGTATTATAGATCAGAAGAATATTCACCAATATATCAAAGACTTCAAAAGGCAGCCAACATTGCATTGAATTGACACACACAAAATGTTACAAATGACCTTGACCCTTAAAAATAAATTCTTACAAACCAAATAATACCACACAATGCACTACATACATCTAACTATACATAAATTATAATTAAAACACAACTGCATATTTCAAATGCTTGGCAGTGACTCAATCTTACATTACAGAAGTTAGTGGCAGTGTGGAGGCTGGCATGGCTCAACTCCAATCCATTGTACAAGCCTAGGATTAGAAACCCATACTATTCCATTGGTAGACTGGGGAAATGGCATACCATATTAAAGATCTGGTCTAAGATTTTTATAAAGTTTGATTTAAGCATTAAATAAAAAAGCATACCAATTACTGTGAAGTACACTGGAAGGAGAGTGAGTTAATATTCAGACAGAAGAACTTTTTAGCCGTAATACTGAAATTCATCGTTGTTCTAATGATTTGTCATCTCTGCTCTGAACTTTTCGCCCAAGATAACAATCATAAATATTAATTTGACAACTAAAACAAGAAATCTGATGGTAATGTGGTGTGATTTCATTATTCATAGTCTACAGCACGTTGCAGCAGAAACAAGCTCCAATGACACAGATCCTTCCTCACAATCAAGATATCAACTCGAACAAGGCTTACCTATAACTAGGTGACCATATAATTTAACATCCAAATGAAGAGGTTTGAAAGTGAAAGGGGACATGCAGAAAGAAACCAGGTGGGATGCAGAAAAATGGGAGCAATTTGGCAGTCTCCAGAAAACCAGAGCACATGGTCCCAATAACTACAGCTAAAAGGTAAATGTCAGTATTTGGAAGTTTCCTTATAGCAGTAAACTCTGAACACTTCACATATAAACTATGCCTTGCTTTAGTTTAGTGGCAGTGAGTAAAAAAAATCTGTACCGCAGTGGCAAGGAAAAAAGAAAATCAAAAACAGACCAAGAAAATAGTTTAAGCTGGGCGCTGTGGCTCATGCCTGTAATCTCAGCACTTTGCGAGGCTGAGGTGGGTGGATGACCTGAGGTCAGGAGTTCGAGACCAGCCTGACCAACATGGTGAAACCATCTCTACTAAAAATACAAAATTAGCCAGACATGGTGGTGCACACCTGTAATCCCAGCTACTTGGGAGGCTGAGGCAGGAGAATCATTTGAACCCGGGAGGCAGAGGTTGCAGTGAGCCGAGATCACTCCACTGCACTCCAGCCTGGGCGACAAGAGCAAAACTCCATCTCAAGTAAAAAAAAAAAAAAAAGAAAAGAAAAGAAATAGTTTAAAGTTTCCTACAAGTAAAGATGAAATTCGGCTCAAGCACATATCTTAGGATCGTCTAAGTACTTAGTGCTAACAGAAGCAGTGAAAAACCCCGGTGGGCAAGCAGGAAGAGTGAAGCTGAGCAGCCTAAGAGGATTCTTTCATGGGCAATGATGTGTCAAATTTAGGATCAAATACCTATAAACATAAGTAAAATGTTTACTTCTTAAGTTTTATTAAAAATTACAACTTGGCTGGGTGCGGTAGCTCACGCCTGTAATCGCAGGACTTTGGGAGGCCGAGGTGTGTGGATCATGAGGTCAGGAGTTCGAGACCAGCCTGGCCAACACAGTGAAACCCCCATCTCTACTAAAAATACAAAAATTAGCCAGGCATGGTGGTATGTGCCTGTAGTCCCAGCTATCTGGGAGGCTGAGGCAGGAGAATCACCTGAACCCGGGAGGCAGAGGTTGCGGTGAGCAGAGATCATGCCATTGCACTCCAGCCTGGGCAACAGAGTGAGACTGTCTCAAAAAAAAAAAAAAAAACCAACAACGACATTATGAGATTTTTCTTTTTGCGATTTTTTTTTTCTTTTTTCTGAGACAGTTTCGCTATTGTTGCCCAGGCTGGGGTGCAATGGCGCAATCTCAGCTCACCGCAATCTCCCCCTCTCAGGTTCAAGCGATTCTCCTGCCTCAGCCTCCTGAGTAGCTGGGACTACAGGCATGCACCACCATGCCCAGCTAATTTTTTGTATTTTTAGTAAAAATGGGGTTTCTCCATGTCGGTCAGGCTGGTCTCAAACTCCCGACCTAGGTGATCTCCCAAAGTGTTGGGATTACAGGCGTGAGCCACTACGCCCGGTCCACGATTTTTTTTTTTTTTTTTTTTAGCTCATCAGCTATTGTTAGTGTTAGTGTATTTTATGTGTGGTCCAAGACAATTCTTCTTCCATTGTGGACCAGGGAAGCCAAAAGATTGGACACCCCTGTCTAGGGCAAGGATTCCAAAAGTATGTTCTGTATAAAACTTGCATAGAGATTCCAGGAACACTTGTTCAAATGCAAATTCCTGGTCCAGATCTCAAAGATCAGTCTCTGCACGTTTGGACATTTTTAACAAGCAACCCTCATGATTTTTATGATCCTTAAGTTTGACAATTCTAGGGCCTTGGTCTTCAAAATGACACATGCATACCCTTGAGAACACACCAACATTTTCCCATGGGGGTAAGGATACATGCATAGCTCTATGGAAACCAACTTAAAGATGTCCAATTTCCATATGTGTTGTCCTAAAATATGTGCTCTGATGAGGCCTCTTCAGATCTACCATTTCTCTTTACCTCCCTTTTCACAACAGCCATACTCCCTATCCTCCAAAAAAAAAAAAAAAAAAAAAAAAAAAAAGAGGCTGCCTCTCAACCATCCAGTATATCAAGGCGTATTGCCTTGGTGTAAGCAGCTCCAGAGGCACTAAACAAAAGGATCAAAAAAAATCTAAATGACTCCTAAGACGCAAAGAGGGTAGGGGGCAGTAGCTCAGGACTGCAATCCTAGCACTTTGAGAGGCTGAGGCAGGAGGGTTGCTTGAGGCTAGAAGTTTGGGACCAGCCTGGGCAACATGGCAAAATGCTGTCTGTACAAAAAATACAAAATTCAGCTGGGCATGGTGGTGGCACGCGCCTATAGACCCAGCTACTTGGGAGGCTTAGGTGGGAGGATTGCTTGGATCTGGGAGGTCGAGGCTGCAGTGAACTGTGATTGTGCCAGTGCACTCCAGCCTGGGCGACAGAGCAAGACCCTGTCTCAAAAAACAAAACAAAACAAAACAAAAACTGATGCTTCTGAAGGCTGTGCCAGAGAAGTATGTTTGTGTGTTTATCTGAATTAAAACCAAGACATGTTCTGACGGAAGTTAAGTCTGATTTGGCTAATTAAATTAAGAACAGACTTTGCCAGTTTATATGACAGGACTTTTTCTATAAATTTAATCAGCTAAATCTATAGTCCCAGGGCTTTCATAAAAATATCTTTGAGCCAAGCATAGTGGCTCAAGGCTGTAAGCCCAACACTTTGGGAGGCTGAGGCGGGGGAATCACTTAAACCCAGGAGTTCGAGACCAGCCTGGGCAACATAACGAGACACCGTCTACAAATTATTTTAATTAGCTGGGAGTGATAGTGAATGCCTGTGAGGGAAGCTGAGGCTGGAGGATCACTTGAGCCCAGGAGGTGGGCCGTGTTTGCACCACTGCACTCCAGCTTGGATGACAAAGTGAGACCGTCTCTCAAAAAAAAAAAAAAACTTTAAAGCACATATATAATATGCAATATGTTGGATAGTATATCCTTTGTAAGTACTTAAATTTTAAAAATTTAGATTTCAGATTAAAGTCTTGCAAAAGGGCCAGACTAGGTGCCTCATGACTATAATCCCAGCAATTTGGAAGGCTGAGGCGGGAGGATTGTTTGAGCCCAGGAGTTCGAGACCAGCCTGGGCAACATAGTGAGACTTCATCTCCACAAAAAATTAGCCAGTGTGGTTATGCTAGTCTATAGTCTCAGCTACTCAGGAGGCTGAAGTGGGAAGACCACTTATGCCCAGGAAACCAAGGCTGCAGTGAGCCATGATCATACCACTGCACTGCACTTCAGCCTGGGAGACAGAACAAGACAGACCCTGTCGCCCCACACCTCCCCTATACCCCCGGAAAAAAAAAAGTGCAAAAAAAAAAAAAACTAGGGTGAGAGCCATGAAATAGCTGAAGGACTGTCTGAAGAGGGGCAGAAGGGAGTGTTTTGGGGTGACAGAAACATTCTATTGCTTTTTTGGGTGGTTACTCAGATTTCTACAACTCGTTAGAAGGAAACACTTTATCATGTTAATTATACCTCAATATTGTAAATGTGCATGGAAGAAATCTCTTGTTTTCAAGAGTTTTTCTTTTGGGTTCACCTAACTATGTACCTGACTGCTGCATAAAGTAATCCATGGCACTTAATAATTTGACTAATCAGATTACTTCTGTTCTTCATTGTTAGCTCCAGTATTTTTCTTACAGCTACCTTGGATTTTGATGCCTAAGAACATTCTCTGACAGGTTGGAAATAAAATTAAATAAAGGATTGATTTTCAAATAATGTGGTAAGTGAACGGAATAAATGCATTTTTATGTTCGTACTACCATTATGCTATAAAAACCTTAATAACCAGCTGAATCTCTTTCTTGCAAATAGGGCATGAAGCCCCAGCCTTCTTTAGTCTTCTGGCACAGTGAAAACAAGTGACAAGATGGCCCGTCCTTCCATGAATAATGTTCCCGTCTCGTGGTCTTTTCTCACATAAGCTACATGGCTTCAAGAGATTCTGGCAATCCTCCATGTTTTCTGTATCTGTTCTCTGTTCAGAAAGGTTATCTAACTGTTCTCCCATGCTTGAGATGGTCTCTTGGCTTTCAGAACTGTGAGCCAAATCCAAGAATTCCACTGAGTTGCAGGGATCAAAAAGTTTGGAGTTTTCTTTCTTTATATACGCATCTTTAGGTCTAACGACAGGAGCCGAAATGGTTCTTCGACAATCAGGGACATCATTTCCTTCATTTTCCTTTTCAGGTATGGCAGTGATATCAGACGTGGAGAGAGAATGGGTTAACTTTGAACAATCTGAATACCAATCCTTCCTCAAGGCCCAACAACGAAAACAGTACCTCTTGCTTGGAGAGTTAAATTTCTTGCATTCAGTACACTGCCACTCATCCTACAAAGACAAGTGAAGCCAATTAATACTCAGGGGGTTAATATGATGCTGAGAAAAAGGAAAGGAGGTCAAATTCATTCACATCCTCTCACTAAGCTATTCCACACCAGTGATCTAGCCTAGGATTTGAGCAAATTCTACAGCCACATGAAGGAAAGTCTTTGGAAGGTTTACACTGATAGTGCCACAACTGCTATTTTCAAGCCAAAATCTGATATAGTTATCTTTAAGAAAGTGGCTTTAAGAAAGGTGGCTTTCTACCTCATCTCGGTGAAATTTACATTGTTTGCTGTACCTTATGGGCTTCTTTGGAGTTATTTTTCTTTGCACAACTTACTCCTTTATCGGGCAAGAGGCTGAAGAATGAAGAGAATACTCTGTCATTCTTTTCTACACTAATAGCAAATGTTATAAAGTTTGGCAAAAAAGAAAGCTAAAACAAATGAGATTTGAAAACGACTAAATTTACTCATGCACTCTCATTGCACCCAGAATTATAGGTGTAACTGTATGCCTAAATCATGCCCTCTGAAAAATAAATGTTATTGTCCTTGAATGCCAAGTAATTTTTCCCTACTTCTCCATATTCAAATTAGGAGACACTAGATCTCAATGAATTTTAAATGCTTTGCTTAATTCAAAAATAGCTACAGGGAACAAGAAAGAATATTTAATGCGGTTAACTGGCTTTGACAGGATTTGATTTGACATAAGCTGAACTTGATTACTTTTAGGTCAAAGGCCAAGCACTTCAAGTCTAGAAGTCATAACTCAATTGTCCAGACTGAGGCAAGGGCACAACCATGTGTTAAACTGGGATTCCAGATGGCCTCAAAACACTCTTGCCAGTCTAAGATCTTCCAATCTCATTTAAAATGCTATACAAATA